>NC_000003.12:167493452-167644967 GCF_000001405.40 Homo sapiens
TCCTGGAACCCTGGTGGTGGTTTCTGGTAACTTCCACGTACAGCATCTCCGTGGGTTTGCCATTCAGTGAGGCATGGAAAACACTGCTCAGCCCTGGGATGGGTGGGACTCTTCCTTGGTCAATATATCTCAGGCATGAGAAGTAGTGGCTGCTCTTTCATTTTCCTATTCCTATATTCCTTAGAGTTCTGTTTACTTCTTACTAGTCAATTTTCTATAATACGCATGTATCAAATATAAAATCAGAACAAAAATATTGAACCTAATTTTTAAACATGTCTATCAACTATAGTTTCTTTTCAGTTATCACTTATTCTTTTTCCTTTCTATGATGGCTAGTTTCTCAGAAAGGTGTCAGCTTTCTTTAGTAGGTGTCCCATAGGCACCTCCATCTCAACATATCTTAGAAACTAATGTCATTTTCTAACTCTATCCCATCTTCGTCTGTATTTCCTCTCTAAATGATAGTCTTTTTACCTCAACATAGATATCCAAACTAGAAGACTGATCGGCATACATGTATTCATCTCTTATTGGGCACATAATCCTTTAAATTCAAACTCCTTAATATCTCTCAAATTAGTTATTTCCTTTCTAGGTTTTCCTTATCTTCAAAATCATAATAGACATCATCTAGTGAATGGTTAGTGTGCTAGCTATTGTGCTATAATTAACCCACATAACTCCAAGAGGCAGGCATCATTATCCCAATTTTACAGATGAAAAATAAACTGAGACTGAATAGGGTGAATAATTTATTCAGATATAAACAAATAGTAGAAGGCGAAGTGATGATTCAAAAGCAGAGAGCTGACTGCACACAGCAAGTTCCCATTACTATAATATTGCTGCCTTCAGTCTAGCCCCATTATAAGGCATCTACCGCAGTTTTCAGAACGCTTTCTAAAATGCAAATCTGGTCATGACACTTTCTTGTTTTAAACATTTCAACAGGAATTTTCTTTCTGGATAGGATTTAATAGGTAGTTGCAGGTTATCATTCTCACTGCACCAGATAGGAAAAAAAAAAACAGATAAATTACAAATGATATGTTTAAAGCCATCAGAAGGCCGTGGAAGCAGTGATGACCAAAATAACTAAATTCCAGAGATGGTAGGGCCCTTCCTAGATGAGCTAAAATTGCCAAGTATTTTCTTCTTTCTGGGGATTTATTATGTTTTGGCATTGCTAAGAAACAGACCTGCATTCGACTGAGAGACTCTCTCATGGGAAAGTAAATTTGGAAGTGTTTTGATGGCTATGTGGGTTGGTGTGATGTATTGGAATCTAGAGAAATGTCACAGCTTTGGCCAGTCTTTCCCATAGGACATTCTCTGAGCCCTGGGGTGGTGTGGGAGACTGTGGATTGGACTGAAAATGCAGAGTAATGTTTTCTGCAGTTTTGCAGTACGTGGGAGACAATACCCCACTAAAAGGAGAAGCCTAAAGCAGACATTTGAAATCAGAAGTGGACTAAGCCTAACTAAATCTGTACCTCAGCACTGACCCGGCTCAAGTACTAATTAGATTAAGGTCATCAGTGTCTCATTCTCTCTGCCGAATTAAGGAAAAGAGTGAACCATTGCTGACAGAAAAGAATATTAATTTCAGTGTCTATAGATCTTTTAAATTTTCTGTCATACAATAAAAAATTATAGGACTTGCAGAGAAGCAGGAAAAATGAGACTAAAAACCAAGAGGAAAAATATATATATTAGAAGCAGACCCAGGGATTATCCAGATTTTGGAGTTAGTCAACCAAGACTTTAAAAATTACCATTATAAACATGTTTCAAAAACAGAGGGAAAAGATGAACAAAATGGATGAGAAAAATTTAACTGAGAACTAGAATCTGTATAAAAGAGATTCAAGTGGCATTCTAAAACTGAAAGTATATAAATATGTGTGTATATATATAATTTCAGATATACATACATATATAATCTGAAACTGGGAACTGATTAGATGGGCTTAAAAGCAGACTGGTCAATATAAAATATACAAACTGAAGCCAACCTAAGGAAATAAAATGTTTTTCCATTTTATTTATTCCATTATTTAATTCCACTTATTAAAAGAGCATCAAAAACATTTGTGATATAATTAAACAGTCTAACATATGTGTAATTGCTATTCCATAACAGAAGAGAGCAGGAATGAGAATAAAACATAATTTGAAAAAAGATAATGGCTGAGAAGTATTCAAAATTGAAAAAAGATGCATTTGATAAATTTCTATGAACTCCAAGTAGCATAAATACACACACAAAAAAAACAGTACTTAGACTCATCACAGTAAAACATCTGAAAACCAAGGCTAAAGAGAAGTATTTTAAAAGCAGCCAGAATAAGATGCATCAATAACATTAAGAGCAGGATTTTAAACAGGAACTATGGATGCAGGGAAATAAGTTAACTTTAAAAATTTGAAAAAAAAAAAAAAAAAAAAAAAGCAACAAAACAACCCTGACATCTAGAGCTTCAAATCCAATGAAAAATCCTTTCAGAGTCAAAATGAAATAAATGCATTTTTCAGACATGTAAAAGCTGGGAAAATTATTCACAAGCAGGCCCATATTTTAAGAAATTCTGTAGAAAATTCTTCAGACTGAAGGAAAATGGTCTCAGATGAAAGTCTAGTGCCATAAGAAGGAATAAAGAGCACAAGAAAGAGCATTGTAACTTCTAGAACAATCACTTTAAGAATAATACAAATAAATATGAACATTGAAGAGGTAATATAGGATATAAAATTATATAATTCAGAATGATTGATTAAAATATTTCAATAGCTCCCTATTTCTGATTAAATAAATGCCGAGTCCTTAGCATAGTTTACTAGATGGTCTGTGGTCTGGCCCCCACCTACCTGTCTAGCCTCATTTTCTTCATGCTCCTTCTAGAACCCAGCCAGTGGGAACTACATGTAGCTTTCTTAGCACACCATATTATTCATACCACCTTAGAGCTGCTTATACCACTCCTCTACCAGAGTATCATCCCCCGCTATTTTTTTTTTTTAACCTGGCTCATAGCAACTTAACTTTTAACATCTAGCTCGGGTATACTCTGGTTTCCCTGAAAAGTCATCTCTGAATTTTCATGTGTTCCCATAGGATGCAGTACTTATCTCTACCATAGCCCTCGTTGTAGAATATAATTATTTGTCTACTTATCTATTTCCCCACTTCAATGTCAAGATCTCTGAAGGCTAGGTATCTACATATTATCTCTGCGTCTTTAGCATCCAGCACAAATGCTACTATATGTAATATCTATCCTAGGAAAAGCTAAATACAAAAATGAACAAACATTATTTCAGTATCTGCTTGTCAAAGACTCTATGATATCACAGAGTGTATATACAATCTGCTTCAGTCCTCCAGAACTTTATTTGTAAATGGTGCATCAGTACCCCAAACTTAACACATTCCAAACACATTTGACTTTACCTCTACTAACGAGAGGTAAATGTAAAACTCAGTTAATGTCTCAATATCTGAAGTCATTCATTGTAGCCAACTTGGGTTCATTTTGACTTCTGCTCCTTCCTCAACCTTGATATGTCCTTCCTCACTATTTCCTTGTTTTCTCCCTCACCTTTGACCTCCTACTCATCCTTTAAGTCCCAGCTCAAATGTGACTGAATTCTTTCCTATGCTCCAGCCAGAATGAATCGAACTTTTTTCCTGGCATTTTCATGGAACCTCATTGGTGGTGTCATATGTCATCAATAATTTGCATCATTTTCTCTCGCAAGTAGTCATCAATAATTTGCATCTTTTTCTCTCACAAGTTGGTGAAGCTTTTAAAAGAAAATTATTTTCACTTGCAGAAAGGGCAAGTAAGAGGAAATATTTTCAAAACAGGGAAGTAAAGGAAGAAAAATTGAAGAAAGAAAATAAAAAACCAAAAGAAAGAAAACATCTTTTAAAAACTTTGGGGAAGTTACAGGAAATTTTAATAAGAAATCCAGGGGAAAAAATTCTCTTTGAGAATTTATTAGAGTCTTTTAGGTATTTTGGTTATTTCTGCCCAGCCATTAACCCCACCTCTTTGCCCACACTTTTTCCCTGCCCATATGAAGAATTCATCTGTGGCTTCCTTCTGCCACAGATTATATAAAAGATTCTTCATAGAAGCAGGAACTCTCACCACTGAAGAGAGGTGTTTGCTGCTCTCATTATTTACCTGTCTCTTTTGCTTCTTTCCTCTCCAGCTTTTGCATATTCTCTGTCTCCTCTTCATCTTGCCTCAATTCTGAATCCATTTTCTGTCTTGGTTTCCTCCTGAATGCCTACCCTGTATCTGGACTATCTTTACAACTTTGTCCTATGTCTGGATCTTTTTTTACTGGTCATTCCTGTTTCATGTCTGTTTGTGGCTCACAAAGACAAGATAAGTACTTCCCATATTCATTCTTTTTTTTTTTTTTTTTCAACAGGCTAGTGCAGTGGCACAATTTCGGCCTCCACCTTCCGAGTTCAAGAGATTCCCCTGCCTCAGCCTCCTGTGTAGCTGGGAAAACAGGCACGTGCTACCATGCCTGGCTAATTTTTTGTATTTTAGTAGAAACAGAGTTTCACCATGTTGGCCAGGATGGCCTCAATCTCCTGACCTCTTGATCCACCTGCCTCGGTCTCCCAATGTGCTGGGATTACGGGCATGAGCCACCGCGCCCAGCCCCCATTTCATTCTTAAAGGTGAATCATCCTGGTGAAAAGTGATGGGATGACAGACTGAAATCCTTATCAGACACACTAAGAGTTATTTAGAGCTGTAGAGAAGTTTAAACCTTCCCTCTGGAGGTTGGGCAATTGAGCTTATTGAAGTAAATTGAAAATATGAAGATTAACAGGGAATAATATACAAATGTATTAATGTACACATATGTATGAAAACCCCACAAAATATGAGACTCAAAGAAGGGCCTGAGGGTTGGAGCTTAAATACCCTATTCACAGAGAAGAGGGAAATGGCAAATGGCAGGGTGGAGGGGGGAGGGTGAGAGGGGTAGCCAATTTTAGAGGAAGAGTAAATACTTTCTAAAGGAAATGAATGAGTCCAAGGAACAGAAAATAGCCTGGGACAAAGTTTCTCTGTGCTCTGGGGGAGGTGATGACAAGTTTTAAAAGGTGAGGGGTAGAACTGCACT
Source organism: Homo sapiens (assembly GCF_000001405.40). Taxonomy (NCBI): domain Eukaryota; kingdom Metazoa; phylum Chordata; class Mammalia; order Primates; family Hominidae; genus Homo; species Homo sapiens. Next base: position 167,498,610 of record NC_000003.12, read on the forward strand.
GTGAACAAAGGTTGTCTTATTATGCAGGTAGTCTCTTAGGTTAAAAAAGAGTTATTTTAGAGCACCCTCCAGAGAAATAGGCAATAGCCTGTTTAGGTGTGGTAATGACTTTTAATTTCTCCTCTGATAAATAACATTTCCTGGTTGTTTGATGAGATTCCTAGAGAGGGGGTTCAATACAGTTGCATTTCTTTAGGAAGAACCCTCCTCAGTCAGATAAGGGAATTTCAGAGAGAGCCCTCCCTGAACTTTGAAAGGAAAAGTGGGGTAGACAGCAGGAGAAGGTAAGAGAGAGACTGGTTCCGAGGCCTTTCAATCCACTTTGTTCAAAGCACTCAACATGCCAAAGTGGCATATTTTGGAGTATCATTTTCTGAGCCCCCAAAAGAGCCCTAAAGTTATGGCTTCGTTTTTAAGAGAAATGAGTAGAAACCATAGATTGCCCTCACAAGAGCAAGCAAAGAGAAATTCTAAGAAAATGTTTTTTAAAATAAAAAAAACAAAACCTGATAATAATTAGACTGTAAACTATGGTAATGAAGTATGACAGCTGTACCTTGCCTATAAGTAGAATTTCAACAACAACAAAAATGTTGACCAGCTGTTCTCCCTTTCCATAAGAGACAAAGCAAAGAGGAGACTCTTAAACTCCCCTAACTGTGGACATAAGGAAACATCTTTCTACTGCAAACATTATTATTTCTCAAGGATGATGTTGAACCCCAGCTCAGAGGATTTTAGAAGTTTTGAAACCACAGATCTCAGATAGCTTCATTTAATTCTGATTTTTTCTGATTGTTACAAGTTGAAAACTTAAACTTTTTATTAATTATTTTAAATGAGCTTCCCCTGCAGTGTCCATGTGCTTTCTGAGTGCTTCACTGAGAATCAGGTTGTGTTACCTGTTCTTTCACAGGACCCCTCTTTGCTGGAAGAATTTTTCTACAGAATTATTCCTCAAACTTTTAAGAACTCTGAAGACTATAATAGTCTGAAAAATAAAGAATTATTTTGTACATCTTGTTTCTATATCTTTAGGGATCATTCACTTATAGTTTCTAACTTAAGCTTTCTTGTCTTCTCACCACACCAGCCTACCACTGCAGCTGGAAGACTTTAAGACAATACATTTTAAGTCGTCTCTATTTAGAGTGTTTCACATGAAAATAAAACAAGATTGCCAGACACTGTGTTCTAAAGTGGTCTTATGATGGCTTCCTCCAGCATCAGTTTTGAAAATTAAGGTTATTTGGGGAGAGAGATTCTCATCCACGGAAGATTCATAGATACATGTTCATGGCATTCTAACTTCAGAAAAGGAACAAAATAAAAATATTCATTTCATATATCCCAGCCTGTTGGCTCTCCTATCTGAGAGCACACTTCAGCAGCTGAACTATAAATCTTAACAGTCAAACCACACTTTGTTTCACTGCAAACTACAAGACAAACACTTGTTATTTTCATGCTCTTCTACTCTATTTTTAAATGACTAAGTTTCCTGAAGAGGGATAATAGAGGTGTATGATGGCTGAGAACTTACTTTTAAAAAGTGACGGGGCCTCCAGAATTTGGGGACGCTCTTCCTCTGGTTCTTTCCTAAAGTATTTCTCAGGGTCTAGAAGGAAAGCAGGTTTATTCACTTCAGGCAGCTCTTCCAGGGCTCCAATGTTTAATGACCTAAATGTACCTTCACAACAGCAGGTTTTAGAGGAAGACAGGGAGAAAAAGGGTACAATATCATTAACTCCTTGGAAAGAGCCAGCACATTTCCAAGTTAACTTTTATAAATTTAACCTTCCTGTTACTCAGCTGGTACAGCTGCAGTGATCTGCAAACCCTACAAACACAGCTGTTCAAAATAAATCCATAGTGCTTTTTATTCAAAGGAACCAAGAGGAACTCAAGGCTTCCCATTCATTTTTTTTTATTTTGTATTTTTCTGCTATTTTCCCTTGAAAATGAATATTCTGCAGTTTTGGAAAAGCTCCAGTTTTTCTTTTATCTACAAGAAAATTGTATCTTTTGTGAAATGGAATCTATTTTTTTCAGTGTTTAGTTTAACAACACATCTAAAATTTTGAATTGGCAGGTACTTTTTAAATAATGTCATCAAGTAAACCAGAGCTGCGTTATTGTATTTATTATGCACACAATGAGATGATAGGAATCTATTTTAATCATGCTCTTAAAGGCAAAGTCTTGAACAAAGTAAAAGATATTTCTCTTTGCTTCATGTAGTAATTGGATAATAGAATGGAAATCTATTTGGGATAAAATTTTATGTTTCTTTGTTAGTTCTGTGAAGGTAGGAACTGGGTTTTTGTCACGATGGTGACTCAGTACCTAAGAAAAGGAAACTAATCCGTATTCAGCACCTGCTATGGAACAAGTCAGGTTCTATGTCAGTGGATTTCAAACTACAACAGGCATCAGAATCATCTGGAGGGCTTACTAAAACATAGACTGCTATGTGACCCCCTTGGCTTCTGACTAATGGAGGAAAGCAGGGATGAGGGTCTCATAATTTACATTTCTAATAAGTTCTAGTTGATGCTTACGGTGCTAGGCCAGGGACCACTCTTTGAAAACTAATGTGCTATGTCAAATTAGAGAAGAAATCTTCACAACATGTAAGGTATCGTGCCATTAAGACAGATGAGGAAACTGAGGCTTAGGATGCGTTAGTAATTTGTGTCTCAGTTCATATAACTGTTAAATAGCAGATCATGGACTTAAGTTGAAATATGTTTAATCCCAAAGGTTATGCTCCAAGGTATAACAATAACAACATTACTAATAAGATTGTATTGGTTGCTATAATATGCCAGGCAGTAGTCAAAGTGCTTTACATATCTATCTCGTGTAATCCTAACAAAAACTCCGTGGAGTAGATTAGTTGATAAATGGGCATTGAATGTTAACAAATAATTATGCACCATTTTTACAGCAAAATTTCATCAGAAATTTAAAAATCAACATATCTGCTCTATGAAAGTGTGACATTCCCTTGGACATAAGTTGAAAAGATATTTGTAGTAAGTAACATATTTTCATTATAAAATAAAGCTTCAGGAAGGATTCTTATCTGTTTCTAAGCAATATACCTTAGTATAATAATGACTCCTTTGTTTTAGGTTACTGGTCTTTAATTGTTTTCTGGTCCGTCAACAACTAGACTAATGCATTGTTCTGTGTGGCTTCAGGATTTCTGACGAGCAAAAATAGTTTTTATTCATCTTCATTTCTTAAATACTTAAGGGAAAGAATAAAAATTCTGGTGCCATCTCTTTTTTTAGAACTGTATCAGGTACTTCACACATATTTTCTGACTAATATAGTAAGGATATTTGTCCCCTCTGAATCTCATGTGGAATTGTAATCCCCAGCATTGGAGATGGGGCCTGGTAGAAGATGACTGGATTATGGGCACATATTTTTCATGAATTGTTTGGTGCCATTCCCTTGGTGCTGTTTTTGCAATAGTGAGTGGGTTCTCACAAGATCTGATGGTTTAAACGTGTGTGGCACCACCCCCAGCTTGCTCCTACTCTCACCATGTGATGTTGCCTGCTTCCCCTTCACCTTCCACCACCACTGTAAGGTTTCTGAGGCCCTCACCAGAAGGTGGGCAAATGTTGGTGCCATACCTGAACAGCCTGCAGAACCGTGATCCAATTAAACCCCTTTTCTTTATAAATTACCCAATATCAGACATTTCTTTACGGCAATGCAAAAATGGCCTGACACAGAAAATTGGTAACAAGAGTGGGGCATTGCTATAAAGATACCTGAAAACGTGCAAGTGGCTTTGGAACTGGCTAATGGGCAGACGTTGGAAGAGTTTGGAGGACTCAGAAGACAGGAAGATGAGGGGAATTTTGGAAATTCTTAGAGACTGGTTAAATGGTAGTAGCCAAAGTCCTGATAGTGATGTGGACAGTGAAGTACAGGCTGACAAAGTCTCAGATGGAAATGAGGAACTTACTGGGAACTGGAGCAAAGGTCACCCATATTATGCCTTACCAAAGACCTTAGCTGCATTGTGTTCATGCTCTAGGCATCTGTGGAAGTTTGAACTTAACAGTGATAATTTAGGGTATCTAGCAGAAGAAATTTCTACACAGCAGAGCACTCAAGATGTTCCCTGGCTGCTTCTAATAGCCTAGCTTAGATATGGGAGCAAGAAATAAAGGTGGAAATTATATTTAAAGAAAAAGCAGAGTATAAATGTTTAGGAAATTTGCAGCCCAGTCATGTGGCAAACAAACAAATTTAAAAAAAGCATTATCAAGAGAGAAATTCAAGCAGGCTGTGGAGCAACCACTTGCTAAAGAGATCTGTATAACTAAAAGAGAGCCAAGAGCTAATATCCAAGACAACAGAAAAAAGGCCTTGAAGGCCTTCTAGACAGCCCCTCCCATCACAGGCCCACAGGCATAGAAGGAATACACCACTGTTCTCCATATCCGTGCAGCTCCAGCTCCAGCTGTGGCTCAAAGGGCCCCAGATACAACTCAGGCAGCCACTCCAGAGTGTGTAAGCCATAGCTTTGGTGGCTTCCACGTGGTGTTAAGCCTGCAGGTACACAGAGTGCAAGAGTGAAGGAGGCTTGACAATCTCACCTCGATTTCAGAGGATGCAAGAGAAATCCTGGGTGCCCAGCAAGAAACCTGCAGCAGGGCATAGCCCTCACAGAGAATATCTGCTACCACAGTGCTAGTGTTACTGGGGTGTCCTTGCTCCCAGAGCTCCCAAGATGGTGGCGGGCTGCTTCCAAAATGGCGGTGGGCCACTTCCAAGATGGTGGTAAGCCTCTTGTTGTCTGACCTGGGGTTCTTGGCCTCACGGATTCCAAGGAATGGGCCATGCGGTGAGTGTTATAGCTCTATTAGAAGCCGTGGGTCATGGAAGAGAACCATGGAACCCAGTGACTAGTGTTCAGCTCAATTAGGACGAACCAGGGCACTTAGCCGTGCAGGAACAATGGCAAGCCTTTAGCCCGATCGGGAGCAGCAATGAGTGCCTTGCTGGATCAGGAGCACAGCAGACACCCTGCCAGATCCAGAGGGATGGAAGTCAGCGGTGGGTCTGTGAAGGTGGCCAGCAGCAGTGGTGGAGGGCGACTGAAAGCTCAGCCCGAGCCATAACAAACATGGACCAGAAGAGTGCAGTTGCAAGATTTAATAGAGTGAAAGCAGAGCTCCCATACAAAGGGAGGGGACCCAAAGGTGGTTGCCGTTGCCGGCTCGAATGCCTGGGTTTATATCCCGATGCTTGTCCCTCCCGCTGTGCTCTCAGGCAATAGATGATTGGCTATTTCTTTACCTCCTGTTTTTGCCTAATTAGCATTTTAGTGAGCTCTCTGATTGGTCAGGTGTGAGCTAAGTTGCAAGCCCCATGTTTAAAGGTGGAAGCGGTCACCTTCCCAGCTAGGCTTAGGGATTGTTAGTCGGCCTAGGAAATCCAGCTAGTCCTGTCTCTCACTAGTAGAGGGGAAATGTGGGGTTGGAGGTCTCATGCAGAGTCCCCACTGGGGCACTGCCTAGTGGAGCTCTGTAAAGAGGGCCACTGTTCTCCATACTTGAGAATGGTAGATTCACTGGCAGCTTGCATCCTGTGCCTGAAGAAGCTACAGGCACTCAACTCTAACCCATGAGAACAACCACAAGGGCTGTACCCTGCAGAGACACAGGGGCAAATCTGTGCAAGACCTTGGCAGCCCACCCCTGGTGCCACTGTGCCCTGGATGTGCGCATGGAATCAAAGGAGATTATTTTGGAGCTTTAAGACGTAATGACTGCCTTGCTGAATTTCAGACTTGCCTGGAGCCTAGAGCCCCTTTCTTTTGGCCAGTTTCTCCTTTTAGAATGAAAATGTTTATCCAATGCCTATGCCCCCATTTTATCTTGAAAGTAAATGACTTTTTTATTTTACAGGCTTATAGGTGGAAGCAGCTTACCTTGTTTCAGATGAGAACTTTGAACTTTGTACTTTTAAGTTAATGCTGGAATGAGTTAAGACTTTGGAGGACTATTGGGAGGAATGGTTTTATTTTTCAATGGGAGAAGGACATGAGATTTGGAGGTGCCAGGGATGGAATGATATAGCCTGGATATTTGTCCCTACCCAAATCTCATGTTGAAATGTAATCCCCAGTGTTGGAGACGGGGCCTGGTGAGAGGTGTTCAGGTCATGAGGGTGGATCCCTCACGGCTTGGTGCTCTCCTCATGGTAGCAAGTCCACAGAGATCTGGCTGTTGAAAGTGTGTAGCACCTCCCCCACTCCCTCTTGCTCCTGCTGTCACCCTGTGATGTGCTTGCTATTGCTTCACCTTCCACCAAGCAGATACCAACATTATGGTTCCTGTACAGCCTGCAGAACTGTGAGCCAATTAAACCTTTTTCTTTTTAAATAAATTATACAGTTTCTGGCATTTTTTTATAGCAATGCAAGAGTGGTCCAATACACTGACTAAGACCTTACACTTTTTCCGCTAGTATTCTGTGGAGCCTTGGACAGGTGACTTAATGTCCTGTACCTCACTTTTCTCCTTTGTTAAATGGGGTTCACAGAACATTACATTCATGTTTATTAAGGAATAGGAACATTCCTGACACACAGAGTAGACATTTGTATTCACACTAATCTGTTAAATAATATTATAAAAATACATTAACAACAGTGACTACTTACTGAATGATTTTTTTATAACTTCACCATAATAAGGTTTTTGTGTTTCTTTCATGCAGGTACTTCTTTCCTTATATTTTATATCTAAATTTATATCTTCTGATGGTCTGACACTGGAAGAAAATATTTCATGATGAAATACATTATTAACCACAGGGATGGAGAAACTCTTTCTGGCTATGTGTATCTTTGACCAAAAAAAACAAAAACAAAAACAAAAAATCTATTCCTGTGAACCGAAGTAGTGATATTTGTTTATACTAATCAAGCCCTATCTTTTAACAAAATGCCTGCTAGCCAGGTGATAATAGAAAAGAGTGAGAGCCAGAGTGTCCAAGAGTCTAATTAAGCAAAGCCCTGTCCCCATAGCAACAAGGTTAGAGAAAAAATTATTTAGAAGAAAATTTTACAGAAACACGTACATTATCCTTGCCTTATTAATAAATTATATAATGAGAAGTAAGCATCAATCCTTTGTGTCAAAGCTTATTTATTCAGTGTTAGGCGTGTATCTTTATGGTTATGGCATCCAAAATGCAAAGAAGTTCAGTATTTCTGAGGCTTTCTCATATGAATCTATAAGAAAATTTTAGCGTAACTTGAATTCACAGAAAGGATTTTTATCAATAAAACATGGGAAATAAAATCATTACATAGCTGTATATAATCTTGTGAGAAAATAGAAAATGATCTCAAATCTATTTAAAATTCACTGTCATAGACTTCAACCTTAACAGCTACAAGTTATGTTTCCAAAAATTGTTATTAGTATCTTCAGAGCACCAAGCCAGAAAACACATCCATCGTCTCAAAATCGTGGAGAGTCCTGGGGATCTTGACTCACCCTCTTCCTTCTGCCTCCCTTCCCTGCATCCCTCAGCCCTTTATAGTTAACCATTCTTCCACTCCCTAACTTTTATTCTTATATCTTCTATGGATTTTGTAGCTATAAGACTCTGAGTTGTTTCCCATACTTTCAGCCTCAATTTTCCCCTCAATGTAATGGGACTCTTGCTGTGGATTTAAAGGAGATAAGATGGATGAAAGTTCAGAAATGTGCCTAATAAATAATAGCATTCAAGTAATGTTCATTTCCAGCTTTCTTTTTCCTCCACTCTATTTTTACCGTATCTTCCAATTTTAAAAGATTTTAAAATATCAATACAAGTAAAAAGTCTGTGTATCTCTCTTAAACTTAATATCAAATGCTATTTGCATGGCTTTAAGTAGTAATGTATTAATTTCTTTCTCATATATAAACTTTTCCTTTTAGAGGTTTTAGATTTGCAGAAAAGTTAGTAGAGCTCCAGTATATCCCTCAGCCAATTTTCCCTATTATAACATCTTACACTACCATTTGTCACAATAAAGAAATCAATATTGGTACAGTACTATTAACTGAATTCCATATTTTATTAGAGTTTTACTAGTTTTTTCTTAATGTGATTTTTCTGTAACGTCAACATTATATTTTGTTGTCTAACTCCTTAGCCTCTGGCCTGTGACGATTTTTCTTGTTTATTATGATCTTGATAGTTTTAAGAAATACTTGTTGGATTTTTTTGGTAGAATATCCCTCAGTTTGGGTTTGTCTGATATTCTTCTCATGGTGAGACTGGGGTTATGAGTTGTTGAGAGGAAAGCAACAGAGGTGAACTGCTGCTCTTATTGCATCAAACCAAGGGTGCATGCTATCAAACTGACTTCCATGGTTGATGTTAACCTCAATTACCTGGCCACAGTTGTATGTGCCAAGTTTTTAGTAATGTTTACAATAGCTACTGTACAGTTACTTTTTCCCTTTTTCCATATGTTACTCTTTGGAAGCAAGTTTTCAAGCACAATGCACATTTAAGAGGGGATGGGGGGGTAGTTAATCATGATTTCCTTGAATCAGGAGAGTATTAACATAAATTACTTGGAATTACAGATTTTTTTTTCTTTTAGGAGAGCTTTGTCATTGGATAGGTGGGCAGTTTTTCCCCAATTGCACTGGAATGACATCCCTCTCCATAAGCCATCTCATGTGAGTAAGAATTAGTATTTAGCCACTATTTAGGCTTTCAAGACAAGAAATAATGATATCCTTAGAGAGGTATTTTAAGATAGTAAGGGGATCTACAAAAATAAGAAGTTGGTGTTGGATACTGAAAGCATGGAGTGTGGTACAGTTAGGCCTTGCAGTTATTGGATTAAGAATACACCTTTTTCTAGAAAAGAATTATTCATGTAAACATGTGCAAAAGATTGAGGGGGCAGGGGCCACGGTAAAGAGGTTTCCCTTTAGAGTAGTTAACAATATATCTTGATTTTTTTTTCCAAAACACTCTAAACTCTTCCCTGTTTTCAGACCATATGCTTTCTGACTATCTCATCCTGTGGAATCTAAATCAAGTAGCTTTTATATAAAGCAAAACATTTTGCCCATTTCCACTAAAGAGTTTTATCCACAGAGGGAGAAAAGTAGTCAGACGGTAGGAGAGAATCTCTTGGAAATCACAACAAATTAAGTCAACAATCTATTGCTTCCTTTTCACAGACAGACATCTGACATTTGCAGGAGTGGTTACTCTGAAAATGCACAGGGAACTGGAAAAAGGCAAATATTCTCAAGAGGAGAAGTGATGGATGAAGACAAAGAAGCAGAATAATGTAATACCAGGCTTAAATAGAGTTTTAAAACATTTTGCAAAAATGCCTTAGTAGGTGATGCAGGAAGGCGATCTACTATGGGATCCACCAGCTTTGGCATCAATCCTATGAGGAGGAAAGGCTCTAACTAATCTCACTTCTCTTGGCTCTGGCTGTGGAAGGGAGGTATAATGACTGTGACAATTACTCAAGTACCCTCCTAGGCATCAAAAAGGAAGTGAAAAATGCTTAGAGTAGTGGCTTATACATAGCAGGTACTTGATAAAATATTTGATGGCTTGACTCAGAAACCAATAATTTGTCAATATTTTCACATGATGCTTGTTGGACAGGCAACACAGAACACTGATAAAGTACTAACTCTGGAGGCTGAATGCCTGCATTTGTATCCCTAGTTCACCTCTTGGTTGGTTGACCTTGTGCAAATCTGTTAACTTCTCCGCCTCTGTTTTTCAAGTTGTGAAATGGGGATGACAATAGTAGCTATCTTCTAGGATTACAGTGAGAATTAAATGAGGTAAACACATAAAGACCTTAGAACAGGCCCTGAAATATAATCAGGGCTCAGTTGGTATTGGCTACTATCACTTTAAGCAAAAGCAAGACAATATTTTTCACTCAAAGCAGGGAGTTCTAACACCCCCCTACAGCAAGCTCCAATATTCTTCAGAACTATCAGAATGATCAGACAAAAAATAAAAAGATGTGGCACTCCCCCAAATAACAATTTGCTGTTCTAGTATTTTTAAAGTTCAAATTTCAAAAATTGAATAGAGTATCATATGCTTTCATTTGTCATACATGGACATAGGATAGTTATTGCCAGATTGTTGGTGAAAGTAGACTGCCAATTCGTCAAGTATTTACATCACATAAAGCCTAATTTAAAATGGGATTTTAATATTTTGTGTATTTTTTCTTATAGCTATTTATCTATTTTCTAATTTAATTTCTCACATGAAATCTACTGACAGAATAATTAGGTAATCAATAGCATTTAAATAATATTAAATATCAGTTCCCTCCTAACAATAACATGGAATTTAAAACATCATAATTATTTTCCATGTTTAAGAAACATTAATTTGAGGTGTGCCCTCTGCCTTGTATAAACTTACTGGGAAACTAGTAGAATTTTTGTTTCATTTCTCATCTGAGTCTTTATACTTGTTTCTAATAATGAATCCCTTCCAGATAAGCAATTTTTTAAATGGTAACCAAAGGAAAATGTGTCAGATAATAAAAAATGGAGTAGTTTATGCTCTTTGTTGCTCTAGAATAAGAATGAAGATCAGTAAGTGAGAGTTCTACAGATGGATTTTACTTAACATTAGAGACATTAAGAATAGTTCAATAATAGAGAAGGGTATCTGTGAGATGTGAGTGTGTCATATAGGAACTATTCAAAAAGGCTGGGATGTGTTTCTCTTAAAGATGCCATAGGAGTTAGTCTAGTAGACTTTGAATACCCCTTTAAAATTTATTATTGAATTATCAAAGGTTAATAAACCTGAAAAATGTTTACTTTCACAAATAATCAAAAACTTTAGTTTAAAGCAATAAGATATCATAGCGACAGTTTTAAGACAGCAATAACAACCATTTTTGGTTCGAAGGCAGGAAAGCAACCATTTGTATTGCTGCTGGAGGGAGAGCTGATATGTCCAGACAGCAAGATGACCTTTAGCAAGATGACCCAAAGGCCTTTATGCCTTTTGACTCAGCAATTCCTCTCAAAGAATGTATTCTAATTATGAATTCAATAAGATATTCTAATATGTGCACATGAAGGTATTTAAAGAACTGTTTTCCCAGTTAAAATTTGTAAACAGTCTACATATTTGAAATAAAGAAAATGGTTAAAAAGCTACAAGTCATTATAAATGTTGTTGTCCATGGATACTCATATTAACTAATATGAAAATGTGCCTACTGCATATTTTTGAGCGATAAAACAGGTTATAAACTGTGTCTACTAAGTCACAGTTATTTTTATAAAATGTACATTTTTTCATTGTTGTAAGTATGCCTAAAGCAAGGTCTTAAAAGTGAAATGCCTAATGTTAACAATGGCTTTACCACAGATATTTTCACCTTTTGCTTATTTGTACTTCCAAATTTTCCCGTAATAAAAATGTAGTATTTTTGGCCAGGCACAGCGGCTCATGCCTATAATCCCAGCACTTTGGGAGGCCGAGGCGGGCAGATCACGAGGTCAGGAGTTCAAGACCAGCCTGGCCAACATGATGAAACCCCGTCTCTACTAAAAATACAAAAATGAGCTGGGCATGGTGGCATATGCCTGTAATCCCTGTATTAATTTTATAATAAGGAAATATTCTGAAACTGTATTTTCTGAATTATTCATTTTATCTATAATTTTCCTAGGTTAGATAATTTTACATGAGTCCAAAAAACAAATATTCCTATAAACTAGGAAAAATATATGTCCACTGTAGTTTTTTTTACTATTTTATCCCTTCACTTATTTATTTTTTTAGAAGTTTTTTAAAGCTAGTATGAGTTTTGCAGACTCTAGGAAAAGGATAAATCTATTTCTCCATATCAATTGTTAACTTAGAATTAGGCCTTTCTATTAATCTCTTAAATTCTATATTCATCTCCCCAGGACTTAACTTGAAGATAACTCTTTACCATCTACCTACTTCTCACAAATAGTATTATAAAATACTTTCAGCCCTGTGAAAAGCCAGGTATGTTTGTATAAGCCAGAAGATAATATACACCCCAATTTTTTAACCTGGAAAGAGACTCTTAGGTGTTAAAATGAGAAAATAGCTTTAAGACACTTAATTTTTTCTTCATGTTTCTTGTTTCTTCTATTTTCTTTAGACTTTTTCTATTTTCCTTCATCTTTCTTCCTGTGCACCAACCCCCATCTAAACATACCCCCACCTGCATATATACACCAAGTGTACTTTTTCTCCTGTAGTCTAAATTCTTTCACATTTTTATTTTTCTTTCATATTTTTTCATATGGATGAGAGCTAGCATGATTCTTTCCTTGAATTTACCAATCTGACTAGGTAAAGGGGCACATTCTTCGGAAGAATATTTCTTAAAAATAAAATGATTTATAATATTTTCCGTACTAGATGGAAAGCACAAAGGACATTCTACAGCTGACAATTTTATTGTGTTTGTATAATTTCTGCAAAGGATTCCTGATCATATTCCTGGGAGAACTGAAGGATGTACATGATAATCAATTCTGAGGATATGTTTTTAACCCTTTTTTTATTAGTTTAATTCCTAAATGACATTTTTCTATACTATCTCATTATTACAAAGTCTTAAAATTATATCAATCCAGTCTCATCTGAATTAGATTAAGACAGAAATTTTAAAGATCACAAGTACTTTTTGATGCGTTATTTTTTCATTTTACAAAATGCTGTACAGTAGAAATAACTTTGCCTCTCACCCCCAGAAGTCTACCGACGCCTATATAATCTTATAATCAACATGAGAAGATCAGTTTGCTGTACTCCTATTTAATCTGGTAGACAACAAAGCTCCAGTTTTAAGAGAAGTCTGTGAACTATAAAACCTATATATTGGTGAGTGACTGAGCTACCTCCCAGGGAAACCATGTTTTTTTCCACCGATCTGTGAAACCCATGGATCAGATCACCACCAGGGCCTTGGGTTCCAAGCACAGAACTGTGCAGATTCTTGGTGAACGCTTGGGTTGCAGCCAGTGGCAGCATGCTGGAGACTGCCTAAGACAACCAAGTACCCAGAGGGAGGGGCAGTCACCATCACTGTGGCTCCAATCAGCCGTTTTCCCCTGCCGGTGTTGGGGAGACTGGGCAGTTTGGCCTGGGAGGAATTCCCCACAATGCAGCACAGTGGCTGTGGCAGATCGTGGCCAACTGCTTCTTTAGGTGGGACCCGGATCCATCCCTCCTCTTTGGGTGGGGCCTCCCTGTGGTAACTTCAGTGACTCCAGCCAGGGGTTTATAGGCAGAACTCTGATCTCTCTGGAATGGAGCCCCTGGGGGAAACAGTGGCCATGGTCTCTGGTTCAGTAGACTTAGCCTTTCCTTCTGCTGGCTCTGAGGAATCAAGGCAGTCCAGACGAGTGGAATTCCCGCCAGGGCAGCACACCCATTCCACCAAGGGACAGATAGAGTGCTTCGTTAAGAGGGTCCCTGATTCTGTGCCTCCTGAGTAGGTGAGACCTCCAAACAGGGGTCACCAGAAACCTCATACAGGAGAGCTCCCACTGGCATCAGGTCAGTGCACCTCCAGGATGGATCTCCCAGGGGAAGGAGCAGGCAGCCATCTTTGCTCTTCTGCAGCCTCCACTGGTGATACCTCCAGGTGCATGAGGGACCCAGGTAAATAGAGCCTAGAGTGGACCCCCAGCAAACTGCAGAAGAGGAGCTCTACAGAAGAGGGGCCTTACTGTTAAAAGAAAAACAAACAGAAAGCAACAACATCAACAAAAAATACCCCACAAAATCTCATCCAAAGGTCAGGAGCCTCAAAGATTGAAGGTAGATAAACCCACAAAGATGAGAAAAAAATCCACACAAAAACACTGAAAATTCAAAAAGCTGGGGTGCCTCTTCTATTCCAAATGATTGTAACACCTCTCCAGAAACGGCACAGAACTGGGCTGAGGCAGAGATGGATGAATTGACAGAAGTAGGCTTCAGAAGGTGGGTAATAAACTTCACTGAGGTAAAAGAGTATGTTCTAACACAATGCAAAGAAGCTAAGAACCACGATAAAACATTACAGGAGCTGTTAGCCAGAATAACTAGTTTAGAAAGTAACAAAGATGACCTGAAAGAGCTGAAAAACACAAGAGAACTTCACAATGCAATCACAAGTGTCAATAGCTGAATAGTCCACACGGAGGACAGAATCTCAGAGCTTGATGACTATCTTGCTGAAATAAGACAGGCAGACAAGATAAGAGAAAGAAGAATGAAAAAGAACAAATGAAGCCTCTGAGAACTATGAGATTATATAACCAAACCTATGACTGATTGGGGTACCTGCAAGAGACGGAGAGAATGGAAACAAGTTGGAAAACATACTTCAGGATATCATCCAGGAGAACTTTCTCAACCTAGCAAGACAGGCCAACATTCAAATTCAAGAAATCCAGAGAACCCCAGTAAGATACTACATGAAAAGATCAACCCCAAGACACATAATCCTCAGACTTTCCAAGGTTAACATGAAGGAAAAAAATTAAAGGGCAGCCAGAGAGAAAGGCCAAGTCAATTACAAAGGGAAGCCCATCAGACTGACAGCGGACCTCTCAGCAGAAACTCTACAAACCAGAAGAGATTGGGGGGAGGGGGCCAATATTCAACATTCTTAAAGAAAAGAATTTCCAATCCAGAATTCCATATCAAACCAAACTAAGCTTAATAAGCAAAGGAGAAACAAGATTGTTTTCAGACAAGAAAATGCTGCGGGAATTCATCACCACTAGGCCTGCCTTGCAAGAGCTCCTGAAGGAAGCACTGAATATGAAAAGGAAAAACCGTTATCAGTCAATACAAAAACACCCTGAAGTACACAGACCAATGACACCATGAAGAAACTACATTAACAAGTCTGCAAAATAACCAGCCAGCATCATGGAGACAAAATCAAATTCACACATAACAATATCAACCTTAAATATAAATGGGCTAAATACCCCAATTAAAAGACACAGAATGGCAAATGGCATAAAGAGTAAAGACCCATTGGTGTGCTGTCTTCAAAAGATGTGTCTCACATGCCAGACACACATAGGCTCAAAATAAAGGAATGGAGGAAATTTTACCAAGCAAATGGAAAGCAGAAAAAATGCAGGGGTTGCAATCCTAGTTTCTGACAAAACAGACTTTAAACTAACAAAGATCAAAAAAGACAAAAAAAGGCATTACATAATGGTAAAGTGTTCAATTCAACAAGAAGAGCTAACTATGCTAAATATATATGCACCCAATACAGGAGAACCCAGAATCATAAAACAAGTTCTTAGAGACCTGCAAAGAGACTTAGACTCCCACACAATCATAGTGGGAAACTTTAACACCCAACTGTCAATATTAGACAGATATCGAGACAGAAAGTGTAAAAGATATTCAGGGCTTGAACTCAGCTCTAGATCAAGTGGACCTGATAGAGATTTACAGAAATCTCCACCCAAAAACAACAGAATATACTTTCTTCTTGGTGCCACATGGCACTTCCTCTAAAATTGATCACATAATTGGAAGTAAAACACTCCTCAGCAAATGCAAAAGAACTGAAATCATAACAGTCTCTCAGACCACAGCGCAATTTAATTAGAACTCAATATTAAGAAACTCACTAAACACCACACAACTACATAGAAGTTGAACATCCTGCTCTTGAATGACTCCTGGGTAAGTAATGAAATTAAGACAGAAATTAAGAAGTTCCTTGAAACTAATGAGAAGAAAGAGGCCATGTACCAAAATCCCTGGGACACAGCTAATGCAGTGTTAACAGAAAAATTTACAGCACTAAATGCCCACATCAAAAAGCTAGAAAGATCTCAAATCAACATCCTAACATCACAACTAATGAACTAGAGAACCAAGAGCAAACAGACCCCTAAGCTAGCAGAAGACAAGAAATAACCAAGGTCAGAGCAGAACTGAAGGAGATGCAGACACACACACACACACACACACACACACACACACACACACACCCTTCAAAATATCAACAAATCCCTAAACTGGCTTTTTGAAAAAAATTAAGAAAATAGATAGATTGCTAGCTGAATTAATAAAGAAGAAAAGACAGAAGAATCAAATAGACACAATAAAAAAAGATAAAAGGGATATCACCACTGGCCCCACAGAAATACAACCATCAAAGAATACTATAAACACCTCTGTGCAAATAAACTAAGAAATCTAGAAGAAATGGATAAATTCCTGGACACAAACACCCTCTCAAGACTGAACCAGGAAGAAGTTGAATCCCTGAAGAGGCCAGTAATGAGTTTTGAAATTGAGGTAGTAATAAATAGCCTACAAACCAAAAAAGCCAAGGACCAGAGTGATTCACAGCTGAATTCTACCAGAGATACAAAAAGGAGCTGGTACCATTTCTTCTGAAACTATTCCAAAAAATTGAAAAGGAGTGACTCTTCCCTCACTCATTTTATGAGCTCAGTATCATCCTGATACCAAAACCTGGTCAAGACAAAACAAAACAACGAAAAAAGAACTTCAGCCAATATCCCTGATGAACATTGATGCAAAAATCCTCAATAAAATACTTGCAAACCAAATTCTGCAGCACATCAAAAAGCGTATCCACCACAATCAAGTTGGCTTCATCCCCAGGATTCAAGGCTGACTCAACGTAGGTAAATCAATAAACGTAATTCATCACATAAACAAAACTAAGAACAAAAACCACATGATTACCTCAATAGGTACAGAAAATGCCTGCTATACAATTCAACATTTCTTCATGTTAAAAACTCTGAATAAAATATATATTGAAGGAACATATCTCAAAATAATAAGAGTCACTTATGCCAAACTCATAGCCAATATCATACTGAATGGGCAAAAGCTGGAGGCATTCCCCTTGAAAACCGGCACAAGACAAAGATGCCCTTTCTCACCACTCCTATTCAGGGTAGTATTGGAAGTTCTGGCCAGGGCAATCAGGCAAGAGAAAGAAATAAAGCGTATTCAAATAGGAAGAAAGGAAGTCAAACTCTCTCTGTTTGCAGGTGACATGATACTATATCTAGAAAACCATATTGACTCAGCCCAAAAGCTTCTTAAGCTGATAACTTCAGCAAAGACTCAGGATACAAAAACAATGTGCAAAAATCACAAGCACTCCTATACACAAATAACAGCTAAGCAGAGGGCCAAATCATAGATGAATTCCCATTAACAATCGCTACAGAGAATAAAATATCTAGGAATACAGCTATCAAGGAAAGTGAAGAACCCTCTTCAAGGAGAACTACAAACCATTGCTCAAGGAAATCAGAGAGGACACAAACAAGTGGAAAAACATTTCATGATCATGAACAGAAAGAATCAATATCATGAAAATCGCCATACTGCCCAAAGTAATTTATAGATTCAATGCTATTCCCATCAAACTACTCTTGAAATTTTTTTTATTATACTTTAAGTTTTAGGGTACATGTGCACAACGTGCAGGTTAGTTACGTATACAAGTGCCATGTTGTTGTGCTGCACCCAGTAACTCATCATTTAACATTAGGTATATCTCCAAATGCTATCCCTCCACCCTCCCCCCACCCCACAACAGGCCCCAGTGTGTGATGTTCCCCTTCCTGTGTCCATGTGTTCTCATTGTTCAATTCCCACCTATGAGTGAGAACATGTGGTGTTTGGTTTTTTGTCCTTGCAATAGTTTGCTGAGAATGATGGTTTCCAGCTTCATCCATGTCCCTACAAAGGACATGAACGCATCATTTTTTATGGCTGCATAGTATTCCATGGTGTATATATGCCACATTTTCTTAATCAAGTCTATCATTGTTGGACATTTGGGTTGGTTCCAAGTCGTCGTTATTGTGAATAGTGCCACAATAAACATATGTGTGCATGTGTCTTTATAGCAGCATGATATATGATCCTTTGGGTATATACCCAGTAATGGGATGGCTGGGTCAAATGGTATTTCTAGTTCTAGATCCCTGAGGAATCGCCACACTGACTTCCACAATGGTTGAACGAGCCAAAATTGACAAATGGGATCTAATTAAACTAACGACCTTCTGCACAGCAAAAGAAACTACCATCAGAGTGAACAGGCAACCTACAGAATGGGAGAAAATTTTTGCAATCTACTAATCTGACAAAGGGCTAATATCCAGAATCTACAATGAACTCAAACAAATTTACAAGAAAAAAACAAACAACCCCATCAAAAAGTGGGCAAAGGATATGAACAGACACTTCTCAAAAGAAGACATTTATGCAGCCAAAAGACACATGAAAAAATGCTCATCATCACTGGCCATCAGAGAAATGCAAATCAAAACCATAATGAGATACCATCTCACACTAGTTAGAATGGTGAGCATTAAAAAGTCAGGAAACAACAGGTGCTGGAGAGGATGTGGGTAAATAGGAACACTTTTACACTGTTGGTGGGACTGTAAACTAGTACTCTTGACATTCTTGACAGAATTAGAAAAAAACTATTTTAAAATTCATATGGAACCAAAAAAGAGCCTGTATAGCCAAAACAATGCTAACCAAAAAGAACAAAGCTGGAGGCATCAGGCT
This sequence comes from Homo sapiens, assembly GCF_000001405.40. NCBI lineage: Eukaryota > Metazoa > Chordata > Mammalia > Primates > Hominidae > Homo > Homo sapiens. The sequence goes on from NC_000003.12 coordinate 167,517,255, forward strand.
ACCCAACTTCAAACTGTACTACACGGCTACAGTAACCAAAACAGCATAGTACTGGTACAAAAACAGACACAGAGACCCATGGAACAGAATAGAGAACTAAGAAATAAGACCACACATCTACAACCATCTAATCTTCAACAAACCTGATGAAAACAAGCAATGAAGAAAGGATTCCCTATTTAATAAATGGTGCTAGGAGAACTGGCTAGCCATATGCAGGAAATTGAAACCGGTCTCCTTCCTTACATCTTATACAAAAATTAACTCAAAATGGATTAAAGACTTAATTGTAAAACCCAAAGCTATAAAAACCCTAGAAGAAAATCTAGGCAATGTGATTCAGGATATAGGTACAGGCAAAGATTTCAAGATGAAAACATCAAAAGTAATTGCAATGAAACTAAAAATTGACCAATGAGATATTTTTTTTTTCCGTTTTTAACCTTTACTTTTTTTTTCTTTTCTTTTCTTTTCTTTTCTTTTTTTATTATTATTATACTTTAAGTTTTAGGGTACATGTGCACAATGTGCAGGTTAGTTACATATGTATACATGTGCCATGCTGGTGTGCTGCATCCATTAACTCGTCATCTAGCATTAGTTATATCTCCTAATGCTATCCCTCCACCCTCCCCCAACCCCACAACAGTCCCCAGAGTGTGATGTTCCCCTTCCTGTGTCCATGTGTTCTCATTCTTCAATTCCCACCTATGAGTGAGAACATGCAGTGTTTGGTTTTTGTCCTTGCAATAGTTTGCTGAGAATGATGATTTCCAGTTTCATCCATGTCCCTGAAAAGGACATGAACTCATCATTTTTTATGGCTGCATAGTATTCCATGGTGTATATGTGCCACATTTTCTTAATCCAGTCTATCATTGTTGGACATTTGGGTTGGTTCCAAGTCTTTGCTATTGTGAATAATGCCGCAATAAACATACGTGTGCATGTGTCTTTATAGCAGCATGATTTACAGTCCTTTGGGTATATACCCAGTAATGGGATGGCTGGGTCAAATGGTATTTCTAGTTCTAGATCCCTGAGGAATCGCCACACTGACTTCCACAATGGTTGAACTAGTTTACAGTCCCACCAACAGTGTAAAAGTGTTCCTATTTCTCCACATCCTCTCCGGCTCCTGTTGTTTCCTGACTTTTTAATGATTGCCATTCTAACTGGTGTGAGATCATATCTCACTGTGGTTTTGATTTGCATTTCTCTGATGGCCAGTGATGATGAGCATTTTTTCATGTGTCTTTTGGCTGCATAAATGTCTTCTTTTGAGAAGTGTCTGTTCATATCCTTTGCCCACTTTTTGATGGGGTTGTTTGTTTTTTTCTTGTAAATTTGTTTGAGTTCATTGTAGATTCTGGATATTAGCCCTTTGTCAGATGAGTAGGTTGCAAAAATTTTCTCCCATATTGTAGGTTGCCTGTTCACTCTGATGGTAGTTTCTTTTGCTGTGCAGAAGCTCTTTAGTTTAATTAGATCCCATTTGTCAACTTTGGCTTTTGTTGCCAAATGAGATATTAAACTAAAAAGCTTCTGCACAGCAAAAGAAACTGTCATCAGAGTGAACAGACAACTTACAGAATGGGTGAAAATTTTTGCAACTTATCCATCAGACAAAGAGCTAGTATTCAGAGTCCACAGGGAACTTAAACAAATTTACAAGAAAAAAAAAAACAACCCCATTAAAAAGTGGGCAAAGACATAAACTGACACTTCTCAAAAGAAGACATTTATGCAACCAACAAACAAATGAAAAAAGGCTCAACATCACTGATCATTAGAGAAATGCAAATCAAAACCACAGTGAGATACCATCTCATGCCAGTCACAATAGCAATTATTAAAAAGTCAAGAAACAACAGATGCTGGTGAGGCTGCAGAGAGATACGAATGCTTTTGCACTGTTGATGGGAATGTAAATTAGTTCACTCATGGTCTAAGATGGTGTGGTGATTCCTCAAAGACCTAGAACCAGAAATAGTATTTAAACTACCATTTGACCCAGCAATCTCATTACTGGGTATATACCCAAAGGAATATAAATCATTCTGTTATAAAGATACAAGCACACATACGTTCATTACAGCACTATTCACAATAGCCAATAAATGGAATCAACCCAAATGCCCATCAATGATAGACTGGATAAAGAAAATGTTACATATACACCATGGAATACTATACAGCCACAAAAGGAATGAGATAATGTCCTCTGCAGGGACATGGATGGAGCTGGAAGCCATTATCCTCAGCAAACTAACTCAGGAACAGAAAACAAAACATCACATGTTCTCACTCAAAAGTGGGAGCTGAACAATGAGAACACATGGACACAAGGAGGGGAACAACACACACTGGAACCTGTCCAGGGGTGGGGGATGGGGGAGGGGGAGCATCATGAAAAATTGCTACTGCATGCTGGGTTTAATACTTAGGTTATAGGTCAATAGGTGCAGCAAACCTCCATGGCATACATTTACCTATGTAACAAAGCTGTACATCCTACACATGTACCCCAGAAATTAAAATAAATTTTAAAAAACCCTATATATCAGCACTGATTTTCATAATACAAAGTTTCCAGGAACAATAGAAAATAAAATTAACTGAAAATGAAGTCAGGAAAGAAGAGTTCAAACAGCCAATGTTTGAATCTAGGAAAAGATTGGTTTAAAAAAGTGTTTAGGATGGGAGTGATGGCTCACGTCTGTAATCCCAGCACTTTGGGAGGGTGAAGTGGAAGGATCACTTCAACCTAGGAGTTCCAGACCTGCCTGAGCAACATGACAAAACCTCATCTATAAAGAAAAAAATGTGTGTGTGTGTGTGTGTGCAAACTGGGTGTGGTGGCATGCCTGTAGTCCGAGCTACTTGGGAGGCTGAGGTGGGAGGATTGATTGAGCCAGGGAAGTTGATGCTGCAGTGAGCTGTGGTCGCACCACTGCATTTCAGCTGGACAACAAAGCAAGACAGCCTCAAAAAAAAAAAAATGTTTAAAGGATAACTGAGTTTGTCATAAGGAATGGGAAATTAGTATCTTGGCTGAAATACTCTTAAACAGGAATCTGTAATACTTGCCTTCACTCTGCTATGCATGTGATGGAAAGAAAAAAAATGATCTGTCTGTGTTACCCTAAGGTAACTTTATTTCTTCATCTGTAAGATTGAGTAGGGTAGGTGGGTGGGGACATTTTATCCTATGTAAAGTCTTTCCATTCCCAGCATTCTATGATTGTACAGGATTGCTCATGCTAGATTTCTAAACTGAAAATATCCTTCTGCCTAAATGTAAAATGCCACTTGACATTTCTGCAAGCCATAATTCAAGGAAATGGAAGAACAAATACCAAAGTAATTTAGCATAACAGAATGCTAAAGGGGAATTTTTTTCTTCTATCTATGTGTCAGCGGAGGTTCAAAAAGTTTGAAAGCAAAGTAATTTATTGAGATGTTTAATACAAAAGTATTTCTACATGCCAAAATGAGGTGGTTAGACTCTGTGTGAAGAGTCATTTTGCCAAGAAGGTAGCTCCAAAACTGATCTTGTGACACTTAAGCCAACCATCACTTTAAGATATAAACAAAGGATGCGGAAACTATAAGGGATGATTGCATCAGAGAGAGTCTTATGTGTGAATTGAGACCCACTCCATTGGAGGGGAGGAAAGCTTTTCTCTTTTTCATTTCTAGCCTCTATTCACATAGCCCAAATAGCTTAAGGTAGTCCTCTAGGGTAACAATGAGAGGGACACAGCAGACCTGTGTCTCACTAACACCTGAAGAAGTCTACAGGCAAAAAGCTGTACCTGGAGTTGCAGGGAGCAGTGGGGAAACAGTGGAAAAGTTGGTATTGCAAAATGTTTGAGTTTCCTACAGGCCAAGCAGAAGTTAAACCAGGAGTTGTGCAAGAGGGGAGGCTTGGCAATGTGCAGGACTGTAACAGAAAACACTGTGATGTGTATTACAAGGGGCATGAGCTGGAGGAGGTGAGCCATAAGAAACTAGTCAAAGAGTTCATGAGTTTGGAAATGTGCAATGCAGAGATCCCTCAGTGGGGTCATCAAAGAACCCTCAACTATACCCCCAGAAAAAAGAGAATGCTTTGCACATCTGCCAAGCCTCAAGAACAGCAATGCTACCTTTTTCCTTCTTCCCATCCTCAGTGAAAGGAAAACTGTGACTACTGAGTTAAAGGGAAGAAGAAAAGACAGTTCTCTCTGGTGTTTCACCTGTTTAACATAGAATGTTACAGAAGCAATGAATTAAAGCATGGTGGGAGTTTTATAGAATGACTATTTTCTTGTCAGCTCTGAGTAAACCCCATTTCTTTTCTCACATTGAACAAATAATAAATCAAAAGCGCCAAAATATTTTTATTATTCTCCAAGTAATAAGCTCAGATATCTATCTCTACAAGAATAAAATAGCCATTTAGCATGAAAGTTAAGTTATGAGAGCATGGTTTAGCAAAAGTGTAGAAAACAAAAGAACTAAACTCCTTAACATGAGAGCATAAATGAAATGTAAATATGGAATCTAGCAGAGTGATGTGAAGAGAAGAACGTCTGAGCAACATAGAGAGACGAGAAGCCTTAAGGAAGTGATGTCTAACTTCAAAGTTAAGCTCTTTGAACTTTTGTCACATAAACCGCTGTGCACTTTATCAAAACCAGGAGTAAAATCTGATACACATTCTAAGATAGATAGATAGATAGATAGATAGATAGATAGATAGATAGATAGATAGATAGATTGTTTTTGAAGAAAGGGGCAAATTTTCACAATTAGATTGATGATGGAGTAGCAGTAAAAGACTAGATGGCACTTAATACATATCAAGAATCAATGTAGTCAAGAAATAAGAACCAAATATGGCCCCGATAATATAAGTCACTCATTCATACGCACCTACCAATCCCCCAAATTTTGGAGAAATCTTGAGGTAGTCATTGAACATTCCACAGAGGACACAAGGAAATTTGGACCAATCTTATCTATGTCTTATCTAGACTTCAGTTGACATCTGGCTAATGTTCAAAATTACTTACTTGTATGTTGAGTCATCTTTGTTTTTCTTATTAAGTAGAGAATGTTCTGTTGGGTCTAAACAAGATTCCTCCTTAGAAAATAAAGAAATTTCCTTTTGAATCTCACTTTCCACTAAATTAGTATCTCTTTTAGGAAGGAAAAGGCAGTTTTCAATATGCCAGTGCTTTGCCTGAAAAAAACGAAAACATCTGTTTTATTTTTATGAAATTTATTTTCTTCAAACATTTACGTGTGTTTACCATGTGCTGGATTACTAATTAAAGTCCTGGGGTGGGACACACAAGAAGATGAAAAAGATATGACTCCGGTCCACAAGAAGCTTACAGTTTTACATGGGAAATGAAAGAGTTTCATGTAACTTTAATAAAGGTAGAAAATGAGATATGTCATAAGAAACAAAAATTCTCTGAAGAGATAATAATGAACTACAAAAATTTTTTTACCATTCCCATTTTAAAATTCTGAATAGCCAGATGTACATTTACTAAAAACAAAACAAAGCTTTTGTTAAAGAATTGCCACACTTATTTATTCCCTCAACTACTTTATTTGCGTGTTACCTCCTTAAATGTTTTCAAAAGCCAATTCAGTTATTAAATATTGTTTTCTAAAAATTATGTGTGTTATATAATAGTTTTCACAGATTTGGCTACACTTCTTAAAATGCATTCATCTAGCAAAAGTTCCCCATTAACAATCTATTTTATGTTTTAAATACAGAGCCAATTTTCTCATCTTATATCAATACACTTCATGCACACAGAATGTTCCAGAGAATGCAGCCTGTGAGATATGAGGGGAACCGTAGGCATCCTGCAGATATTTGGCTGGTGCGCAAATTGATCAGACTTGTCATAAGTGTTTGCAGAATAAAATGCCTACAGAGCCAGTCAAATAATATCAATGAATGAATTGAACCTAATACAAGAAAATAAATGGGTAATAAATAGTAAATAAAACTCACCCTCAGTTTTTAAGGCAATAAAAAAATTCAGAGACTATACTGAATTAAAGAGAACCCATTTTACATAAAAGCCATAGTTACTCTTAAGGAATGACATACATTCTTTTTTTTTTTTTCCACCTTAAGTTCTGGGATACATGTGCTGAACATTCAGGCTTGTTACATAGGTATACATGTGCCATGGTGGCTTGCTGCACCTATCAACCCATCATCTAAGTTTTAAGCTCCACATGCATTAGGTATTTATCCTAATGCTCTACCTCCCCTTTCCCCCACCCCGCAACAGTCCCCGGTGAGTGATGTTCCTCTCCCTGTGTCCATGTGTTCTAATTGTTCAACTCTCACTTATGAGTGAGAACATGTGGTGTTTGGTTTTCTGTTCCTGTGTTAGTTTGCTGAGGATGATGGTTTCCAGCTTCATCCATGTCCTTGCAAAGACAAGAACTCATCCTGTTTTATGGCTGCGTAGTATTCCATGGTTTATATGTGCCACATTTTCTTTTTCTGGTCTATCATTGATGGGTATTTGGGTTGGTTCCAAGTCTTTGCTATTGTAAATAGTGCTGCAAAAAACATACATGTGCATGTGTATTTAATAGTAGAATGATTTATAATCCACTGAGTATATATTCAGTAATGGGATTCCTGAATCAAATGGTATTTCTTGTTCTAGATCCTTGAGGAGTTGCCACACTGTCTTCCACAGTGGTTGAACTAATTTGCACTCTCACCAACAGTGTAAAAGCATTCCTATTTCTCCACATCCTCACCAGCATCTGTTGTTTCCAGACTTTTTAATGATTGCCATTCTAACTGATGTGGGATGGTATCTCATTATGGTTTTGATATGCATTTCTCTAATGACCAGTGATAATGAGCTTTTTTTCAGTGTTTTTTGGCCACATAAATACCTTCTTTTGAGAAGTGTCTGTTCATATCCTTCACTCACGTTTCGATGAGGTTGTTTGGTTTCTTTCTTGTACATTTGTTTAAGTTCCTCATAGATTCTGGATATTAGACCTTTGTCAGATAGATAGATTGATTGATTGCAAAAATTTTCTCCCATTCTGTAGGTTGCCTGTTCACCCTGATGATATTTTCTTTTGCTGTGCAGAAGCTTTTTAGCTTAATTAGATTGCATTTGTCAACTTCAGCTTTTGCTGCAATTGCTTTTGGTATTTTAGTCATGATGTCTTTGCCCATGCCTATGTCCTGTATGGTTTTGCCTAGGTTTTCTTCTAGGGTTTTTATAGTTTTAGGTTTTACATTTAAGTCTTTAATCCATTTTGAGTTAATTTTTGTATAAGGTATAAGAAAGGGGTCCAATTTCTGTATTCTGCTTATGGCTAGCCAGTTTTCCCAGCACCATTTATTAAATAGGGAATAATTTCCCCATTGTTTGTTTATGTAAGGTTTGTCAAAGATCAGATGGTTGTAGGTGTGTGGTGTTATTTATGAGGCCTCTGTTCTATTCCATTGGTCTCTTTATCTGTTTTGGTACCAGTACCATGCTGTTTTGGTTACTGTAGCCTTGTAGTATAGTTTGATGTCAGGTAGCATGATGTCTCCAGCTTTGTTCTTTTTGCTTAGGATTGTATTGGCAACATGGGCTCTTTTTCAGTTCCATATAAAATTTAAAGTAGTTTTTTCCAGTTCTGTGAAGAAAGCCAATGGTAGCTTGATGGGAATAGCATTGAATCTATAAATTACTTTGGGCAGTATGGCCATTTTCATGATATCGATTCTTCCTGTTCATGAGCATGGAGTGTTTTTCCATTTGTTTGTGTCCTCCCTGATTTCCTTGAGCAACGATTTGTAGTTCTCCTTGAAGAGGTCCTTCATGTCCCTTGTAAGTTGTATTCCTAGGTATTTTATTTTCTTTGTAGCTATTGTGAATGGGAATTCGCTCATGATTGGGCTCTCTGCTTGTCTATTATTGGTGTACAGGAATGCTTGTGATTTTTGCACATTAATTTTGTATCCTGAGACTTTGCTGAAGTTCTTTATCAACTTAAGGAGTTTTTGGGCTGAGACAATGGGGTTTTCTAAATATACAATCACGTTGTATGCAAACAGAGACAATTTGACTTCCTCTCTGCATATTTGAATACCCTTTATTTCTTTCTCTTGCCTGATTGCTCTTTTTTTAAGAGAAATGAGAAACTTGAATCTTTACATGAAATCTATTATTGTTTAAATGTGGGCAACTAAATCAAATTTTAATTATTCACTGGATGAAGAGACACAATCAAAGTCACTGGACATCAAATCAATCAGATGAGGAGAGTTGCCAGTACATAAATTCTGCCTAGCACAACAGTAGTTAGTGCACAAAGTGGGGCACTGAAGAATTTCAAGCATCATTTGAATTTCTTCTTATCCCACAATCACCTGTCAGCTTCGTGGGATAAACATGCATTTATGAATAAATCCTCTTCACTCCTATTTCTCCAACTCTAGAAATAGACATACCATACAACTTACTTTTAAAAATCTAACCTGAAAACCAGCCTAAGGTCAATAGCTATGTTATAAAAGTGATTCTAATTTTTGTTTTTTTGTTAAACAAACAAACAAACAACAAAAAAAAACTTCCCTTTTCTCCTCTCTCTTTCCTTTCCCTCTTTTCCTTTCCCTTTCCCCTCCTTTCTGTTTCTTCTTCCCCACACTCTTTGCTCTACATCTTGGGACTAATGGCACTTATATTCAAGACAGCTTGATAAAAGTCAATCCTTTAAAAAATAAAAATTAAAAAAAAGAAGTAGTGCAAGCAGAAGGAACTAGAAAACCGTTTTCCCCAGATTTGCTAGCCTTCAATTTGTAAAACTGACCCAGCTCTGATGACTCTTCTCCTGTCTTGAACAGAAGGGAAAAAATAAAATTATTCTCATGAGGGCTTTTTGCATCTTCAAAAAAGCAAGACTTCACAGAAACAACAAATAATATCAATAATACAAAAATAAGCAGTTTTACAAGCACACATTTCTGAATTAAAATAAAATTTAGCTACAGATTATGTTTGGTGGGTGAACTTTATATGGCACCTACACCTAGAACGGTGTTATTTCTTGGTTCGACCCCGGATGTCTAAGGAACTTCTTAGGTCACCCACTTGATGACGTTTCGTTTCTTTACCTGTTGTTCAAACCTCCACCTCATCTTGCCACAGCCTCTGTCAGCAATGCTTTGGCTTCTTCAGTGGCCTGAAGCAGGCTTCCACCCTCTTTCCTGTCCAGACTGCCAGCCATGTCCCACCCTGTCTCACTCATCACAAGCCTGTATGAGTTCCCACTTAGCCGCTTTTTTTCCTGACTGAGAAAAGTCTAGTGCTTGTCTTATTTACAAAATACAAGAGATTGCTACAGCTCCGGAGTGTTACATTGAGACTGTCGTCTAGCCAATGTGGGTCCACCTCCCAGATGATTTTCTGATTTACCAACACCCTCTGCATCCTAAAGGGGTGCTTAGAATTCTTTCCACACAGGTTGGCCTCATCAAACTGACTTTACAAATACAGCAACAACAAACCTTGTCTTCCAACACTAAAAGAATTGCCTACTCTCCTGGCATAAGATTGGCACCTGAGGCTCCTAAATAGAACCAAATCAGCTGGCCAAACAGATATTGAGGCTTCACTTAAACTTATACCAGGTTTGAATAGTACTGGTTGAAACCAGTGAAACATATTTTGTCCGCAAAAGCACAAATGGAACAGGAAAAGTTCCCAAGAAAGCAAAAGGAAAAAATAACAGAAAATATGAGACTAAATATTTCCTTTCTTTCATGACTCCCATTTCCATTTCATTTCATAGGCAGGAGCAAGTCAGATCTTGAGAAAGGGGTTAAAAATGTGAGCTCTGAAGTGACCCAACTTGAGTTAAAAACAAAACTCTACCACGATTAGCTTCTGTGAGCTCAGGTGATTTATTCAAACTCTCTGTGCCTCTGTTTCCTTATCTGTAAAATGGGAATTGTGAGAGCTGCTCCCTCCTGAGTTGAGCAATTGTGAAGATTAAATGAGTTAATTCTTGAAAAACATCTTAGAACAGTACCCCACGTACACAAGAAAAACTCAGCAAATGTTAACTATTATTATTTGGCAGCAGTAAACCAGATAATGAATAGGATGATTGGTTTTTTTTTCTAAAATTTTCTGCATTTGATTATTACGTTCTTAGTTAACAGTCATAATCACCTGTCTTTTTAGTTACATGATCATTTTATCCACGTTGAACTTTTACTAAATGTTGAAATTGAAGAAATTTATTCTAGAGGAGAATTTTTTCTCAGAAATCCTAGAATATTTTGAGCTGCACAGAGCCCCCATCTTTCCATGTCTCTGGTGTCTTCCACTTGATGGAACTGTCTTGGTTAATGGAAAACAGGGCAAGAGTCGCCTGGAGCTACTGCTTCGGAAATGTTGTCAGTTCTTTCATGACTAATGAACATTAAACAGCTGATGAGATTCAAATAGAAATCAGCCCAAGTTAATACTAAATGTCAAGTAAATACTAGAATAATAAAGAAGCAATATTTCTACCTGACCAAAGATCCAAACAGGAGCATTGCAGACACCAGTCACACAAATACTGCAGTCTGCAGAGGAGGAGATAATCAGTAACTGACCACCTGGCTCACACATCTCTAAGGAACTTATTCGGTCCTCATGAGGTTGGAATGATCTTATCAGAGTTGGGGCCTTGGTGATTTTGTTCTTACTGGAGTTAAGACAGTACTCCTGAATGAAAAGAAATACCAGAACTCTAAAAAATTCAAATATGAAATGATTACAATGACATAACACTTTTAAAAAAAGGCCGATTTTCAAACTTGGGAACAATAACCTATGATCCAAATGCAAAAGAAAAGTTCATGATAAAAGAGGCTAGAAAACGAAATTACATTAAAAAAAGGTTTCTAACTTATCTGATTACTTGGGAAATAAAAAAAAGGAACTAGTGGGGAAGGAGGAAGGAAAGAAAAATATAAATAGTAAAGCCAATTATTTGATAGAGATGAACTTTACCACATACAGGTGGTCACATATACAACGTTCAAATATTATTAGAAAATTGAGCAGGTAATCAGTGATAAAAAAGAAAAAATCCCAAACTAACTCAGGGTAACAATAATGTTAAATGAAGGAATAGTCCTCTAGTATTTAAATTACATTTACAATCTCATTGCAGATAAGGTGTAGCCTCACCCCAGGCAACCTAGTGAGACCCTGTCTCTACAAAAAGTAAAATAAATAAAATAAAATAAAATAAAATAAAATAAAATAAAATAATTAGCTGGGCATAGTGGAACACTCCTGTAGTCCTAGCTACTCAGGAGGCTGAGGTGGGAGGATGGCTGGAACCAGGAGTTTGAAGTTGCAGAGAGCTATAATCATGCCACTGCACTCCAGTCTAGGTGACAGAGGGAGATCCTGTCTCAAAATAAATAAATAAATACATACATACATTAAAAATAAGGTGTATCCTAATTATTTACATTCAAATAATGCTGCAGTGCTTTACTAACAATATTGCATTTCTAAATTGGATGACTTACTTAACAGAAGGTTGTCAATATTGAGAAAAACATGATTTTCCTCATTAATTATTTAAAAGAAGTCTCTGCATGAAACTTGTAAATGTTTTATTTAAAACACTTAGACTATACATTTTTTCCTTTGTTTAGGAGACAGACAAGGCTTGATTCATAGTTACCTGCAACAAAGGGTCACCAAAAATCTTAAAGGTAATGTGATAATGTTTTTCAATTTACCTCTATATTCCAGATTTTCAACCATCCATCAAGATCTCCTGTGGTAAGGTATCGATTCATCTTATCAGTAGACATAATAATCGATCCAACTCCACTATGAGCCAAAAATTCAGCCAGAAGTTGCTTCTTATATATATCCCAAAATCTGACATAACCAGATCCTCCACATGATACCAGGTTAGCTCCTCCTAACATGTAAGGGAAAAATCTAACTAGAAAACTGAACAACAAATGCCAGAAATAACTTCTTCAGTGGCTTTCCCTGTGGAAAGCATGTGATGTTGAAGAGGTGAGTAGCCCTGAGATCAATTCCCAGCACCACTTTAATTTTCTCAAATATAAAATGGAGGTGACGCTATGATAACCTCACTGGTTTGTGTTGAGTATTAAATGAGATAGGATATTGAAGTGTTCCATTACGTTTAGTTCCCTTTTCTTCATTCATTATTCTGATGTTTTGGGGGTATTTAAAAGTTAGATAGAATTGTTTCTTCAGATAAAACATGAAATATTAATTCCAACATTATGATAATATTCTCATTATATAAAATTAATCTTCCCTAATAACCCACTGGACATATACAATGAAGTAAAAGTCCATATGCACAGATTTGGATGGAATATGTAGTGATAGCAGAATAGCTATTGACTTCTCCGTTTGGCAGCATGCTTAGAATTCTATTTATGAGCTTTCTTTAAATGTTTTCATCAATAATTCATTGTAAACCCTTATAAAACCCCTTTTTGGTGAATGAGCCTAGAACTAACCTTTTCATTTTCCATTTTTATAGGTTTTGTTGAAGCACTTTACCTAAGTTATTCTTTTGTGGCAAGGTTCCTATTATTTGATAAATCTGTAGATGACTTCCAGTTTGCTTCACAAATGTACTGCCAATAAACAATCATATCTATTTAAGGTAGAAATAATAACATGTAGCTGCTTCAGTGAGAACAATCTGGGAATACTGATAACATTAAAATTAGTATTGAGGAAATGAGAGTAATTTCAGGATAATAATTCATATTGTGAGTATAAGCAAGTTCTAGAAAATGGAAAGTTTTAGAATCTAATTGTTTCAAAGTTTATTCTAAACATCCCAGAATGTTTTTAAACTATACCTTTATTGATTCTTAATGATTAAAAATTTTATATGAAAATTATACAGATTTTCATCTGTAAATTAAATATGGGAAACAATAAACATAATTCAGATATGTTCATTTCCTTTTCAAATACATAATACATATATGTCTAGTTCCTAATGTTAAGAAAAATATACCCTGAAGATACGATTGTTATTTTAGATGAAAGGTAAAAAAATATACATTATTCTCCAAGGCAGATTTTCATTTTGGAAAGATGCAGGCTGCATCAACACCATGCTAATATTGCCACTGACAACAAGGAAAAAATTAAGCAAATGGTTATTTCACTTACATAATATCATATAACTACAGTAAATCATAAAATAGCATCAATGTTAGTATACATCTCTGGAGAAGATATAACCAATACTTAAAAAAAAAAACAAAACGATGAGAACAGAGAAGAGAGCAGGCAGCTCTTGTCCTGGGATTAGCAATTCTTTCAAATTCTGTTACTGTTCTTAACATCCATGCTCCTCATTATTCTCTTCCAGCCTATTTTGATTAGGTGCTCATATAGTCAGTCTCAGACTCAACTTTTCTGCTATATGTGGACTTAAGCTTTGACTTCGGCATACATCTTGCTGTGCCCCTACTGTATTAAAACCTCTTTATGACAGGTCTGGGACAACAATTCTGATTGTTGCCCGTATCCAATAATTTGTCAGAATTTTTCCCATCTTGATCTTGACATATACAACACTGGATAAATTAGTAGTGGGATGTAGTCTGGCTCCTGCTCTTGAATCCATCCTCCTCAATTCCAACTTCCTTTGCCATGGTCTGTGACCTCACTTGACACACTACTGACTGGTTAGCTACGTGCAGTCAAATTCTACAAGATCTAGTAGAAATAGATTGGATTTTCTTTATTGCTCCCTTTCCAACTATATGTAAAATGTAAATATATATTTTACCTGTCACTGCAGTGTTTTTTCTTGCTTTAAGAAAGCAAAGTCTCATAACAGCATTTTTGCCCTCAGTGTCAATCTCAAAGTTGCGGACTCCCGTGGTAGAATGGTCTGCCATGGGGTGGGAGGGTTGGCTTCTCCCAGCACTGAGAAGTTTTTGAGGTTTTGTATCTGTGAGGGAGACAAAGCCAAGTATATTAATGAAGAAAAATATCTGCTTTTCAAACTAATGCCTATGAAATAGCAGGCCCACATCTATCACTATATCCATTGACTCCAAGTCTCACAAGAGACTTCCAGTCAACATCTATCAAGCCTTCTGCTATTTCTCAACCCCAACTTGAAGAATTGTTTGACATTATTTTTGTTTTTCATGTTCCATACACACTTGCTCTGTTTTCACTTGATATGAATTAAGTAAGAACTTAATATTGGCATCAATGCTAACATCTTAGGGATCCTAATATGCCCAGGACAAACGTAATTCCAATACTGTGGCATTTTCAACTTATTAATCATTAAAATTAATCTTGGAAATATTATAATGAACATGAGTTCTAAAGACTATTTATGTTTAATTAAATGAGCCTTTTTAACAATACTATTTGTTAGCGAGTTACTCTGGAGAAAACATTTCTAAGCATACTTCAATTATCTAATGACATCATCTCCAGGCCACACTAGTAAACACTGGGGATATTCGTCTCAGAATCTAGGAACAGTCTGCCCATAGTTATGAAAAATCTATACAGACGTATTTTCAAAATTCCAAAATAAGAAATCTATTGCAATGCCTTTCATGTCTTTTAGAAATTTGATATTTATTCACTTTTCTCATTAATTATCTCTCTGTGTATTGTAAAGCCCAGTGTAGAAGAAGAGGCAGAATTCCAACCTCCTCATGGCAAGTTCAGATGAATCTTAAAATGATTAGCTCTTAGTACATAAAGCAGGTCAGAGCTTTGTGTTTGCAACCAAGTATCCCCTAAATCTCTTAAGTTTGTTTTCCTACTCTTAAGAAAATAGCTTCTCAGCTTTTCACCCAAAAAGAAAACTGCATCTGATGATCAGTCCATTCCTAAAGTTCAATTCAGCCTCTATGAGTTTATTCAGTTGAGACAACAGAACCTCACTGGGCCATGAAGAATGACATTTTCATTACCAAAATAAATTAGTCTAAAGAAAAACCTTTAGTATCTAAGGAAACTGAAATAAAATGTGAAAGGCAATTGTCAAGACATTTTACTTAAGTATAAAATATTCATGTGCTCTGCTAAACTCCCATAAAATACAATATACTCCCATCTAATGTTCCTCATGGGCTTCTAAAGCAAGGAATAATTTAAGATTTCCAGGTGGCATAATATTTATTACAAGCTCTAGATTGAGTCTGAACAGCCTATCGAGTGAACATGAATTTCCATTTTTTTACCAAAGGGTATCTAACGTTCACTCTTAGGTAATTTGGCAAGGTTTATTGAAAAAAAATAAACTAAATAAAAATGACAGTCTTGCTCCCTGCTGTCGGTAGTTCAGAAATACCAATGTAGCATAAAGAGAAGAAATGGCATGCCATGGAGAGTGTGCTAAGCCAAGTAAATCTCAAGGTTCTCTTTAGCTACTTTGGCAAGACAATGATATCCTTAATCCTTCAGGCTTATAGCCAATCATCTATAATTTAGGATCAAGTCGCATCAGGCACATGCATGAACAACCAGGCCTACTGTGATTTGACTAGCCATGTTATTTTCGTTTCAAACTCACACTTACCTAATTTTGACTTTAGCAACCTCTGGTAATCAGGGTGAAGAACATGGTGAGCATTCTCTGTGCTATTGTTCCATAGAACAATTTCTCCATCATAACTCCCTACACAAGACAGGATGGAGAATATAAATTGCCAGGAGATTAAGATAGAAAATATGAGCAACAGCAATCAGAAGAAGTTATTAGCAACATATCTTCCACAGAATATGGCACATAGTGGGCACTCTATATTTTTAGAAACATGAATAATAATAATTGGTATTTGTTTTAACTCTAGAGCTTACAATCCCCACAGTATAACCTGAGCATGGGTGTGTAGAAATTACTGTTGTTTCCTTTTATTTTATGGTAATAAAGCATTCAGAACAGATGCTTTGCAAATAAAAAACTGGAGCTTGAGTCTTGGTTCTCCCACTTACTGTGTGACCTTGGGCATGTTATTTAACTCTGCTTGATGCTGCAATTTTCTCATCTATAAAAAAGAGTTAATAATTTTATTTATCTCATAGGGTTATTGTAGAGAATGAAAGTATTTACAATAGCACTGAGCATATTGTAAGTACTGGAAAAAATGTTAATTACCATCCTACTTTTTATTATTGGGTAAAAGCAAGTAAATCAAGTCCTCCTATGTTTCTGTTTCCTACATCCCTTCTTGTGTGTGTATGTGTGTGGGTGGGTGTGTGTGTCTTCTCTTCATACTTTCCCTCCTATATTGAATACTGAATATTGTCTTTATTGAATATTGTCTTCTCCAATCCTGAAGTTTTTCCTACAGAAAGTCCTTCAGTACTGCTCTTCACAGAGAACAGAGAAAAGCCCAAATAGCCCAAAAGCCCAAAGTGAGGTGAAGTCTGAGCAACCATGTCCTGTGGAGGAACAAAGCAGCAACGCCCAGACCATTGTTCTCAGTGGCTCAGTGAGGACAGCTACCCACTGAGCAGAGTGTCTATGGTAAGGAGAGCAGAAGAGTTTGGGTGGGATGTACAAATGGTGACTTTTTTGGGATTAGGGGAGAGGAGAGAGAAATGCACACCAAACTCTGTATTGTCCTAGAAAGAGCAATCTCTTTGGGAGGCCGAGGTGGGCAGATCAGGAGGTCAGGAGTTCGAGACCAGCCTGGCCAACATGGTGAAACCCCGTCTCTACTAAAGATACAAAAAAAAAAACTTAGCTGGGTGTGGTGGCATGTGCCTGTAATCCCAGCTACTAGGGAGGCTGAGGCAGCAGAATCACTTGAACCCTGGAGGCAGAGGTTGCAGTGAGCCGAGATTACACCATTGCACTCCAGCCTGGGCGACAGAGTGAGACTCCACTCCATCCAAAAAAAAAGAAAAAGAAAGCACAATCTCTGAAGCTCACAAATTGAACCAGGGGGATGGAGTTCAGCTGTCCATAGAAATATCCATCTTCTCCTATGCTTTACTAGCAGTGACTGACCAAATATTTCCACATAGGATTGATGGGAGGAGAATGAGTGAAGAGATTGTCTACCCACCAATACAACGGTATTTACTAATACTTTCACAATAACAACCACACCATTTTACACTTCAGTGCCCATCACATTTCAGGATGTGATCCTCCCTGCAGGGGTGGCCTTCCAGTGGCTATAAAGCTAATTTACCTACAGAGTTGGCCTTACTAGAAAGTAATTTCATTAGTCCTGAAAACAGGGGAACTTTAAATATAGATAGATCAGTAAACCTCATATTGTAACACTTCATAGATACCCTGGATCTTTTCCTGTAAGTTTTCATTCCTCTTAATTGATGACATTTTTGGTTCTATAAAAAAAATTCAGCTGTCAAAATATGGACTTGAAAATTTCATGGTGCAATCTGTCTCTATAAATTGCATTCTTTGGCCAGAAATGATACAACAATTTTTCATTCTCTTTAATATGCCACATCAAAGCATGCCTATGAATCATTTTAAGAGCTTGGATTTGTAGACATTTTGTGAGGACAGACTTTTATCAACATTATCTGGGCTAAATTATGCCAAAGAGTTACTATGTTCACATTATGAAACATCTAAGTGCCACCAACGTGTGATTCGTACCTGACAGCCCTAAAGCTGCTCCTGGAAAATGGACAATACAAATAAAAGCTAATATTTATGGATGAGCTTATTGTGTGCTGAGCACTGTGTTAAATGCTTGCACAGATAATCTGAACTATAAACCAAAATATAGATATATTATTATCAGCCAGACAAAATTATGATTTAGAGTTTAAATAACTTGCTCATTATCAAGTTGTGGCAATTGGTAGAGCCGTGAGGGGAAATCAGACAGCCAGGCACAGGAGCTGATGATCAGAACTACCAATATATTTCCCTAGAAATAAGGATAAAGAAGAGCAAGTGCTGCTTCTTCAAAAATCTATTCATGCTCAAAGGAAACCATCAACAAAGCAAAGAGACAACCTACAAAATGGGAGAAGATAGTTGCAAACTTTACATCTGATAGTATAAGGGGTTAATATCCAAAATATATAACAAAATCAAACAACTCTGCAACAAAGAAAACCTGATTTAAAAATGGACAAAAGACCTGAATAAACATTTCTCAAAAGAAGACACACAAATGGCCAACAGACATACGAAAAAATGTTCAACATCACTGATTATCAGGGAAATACAAATCAAAACAACCTAAGTGAGTGAGACATCACTTCATTCCAGTCAGAATGGCTCCTATCAAAAAATCAAAAGATAAAAGTATTGGTGAAGATATGGGGCAGAGGAAACACTTACATATGGCTGGTGGGAATGTAAATTAGTATAGCCTTTATGGAAAATGATATGGAGGAATTGAAAATAGAACTACCATATGATCCAGAAATTCCACTACTGGGTAAGGAAATGAAATCAGCATGTGGAAGAGATATCTGCACCACACCCTTATGTTTTTTGCAGCATTATTCACAAAAGCCAAGATATAAAATCAACTTAAATGTCCATCAATGAATAAATGAATAAAGAAAATGTGGTATATATACACACTGGAATAGTATTCAGCCATAAAAAGAATAAAAGCTTGTCATTTGCAGCAACATGAATGAACCTGGTGGACATTATGTTAGGTGAAATAAGCCAGGCATATAAAGACAAATATCACATCATATCACTTAGTTGTGGAATCTAAAAAGTTATTCTCATAAAAGCAGAGTAGAACAGTGGATACCAGAGGATGGGGAGGGGAGACAGGAGGGGTGAGAGATTGGTCAATGGGTAAAAAGCTAGTTATATGGGAGGAATGAGTTTTGGTGTTCTATTGCATAGTAGGATGACTAGAGTTAACAATAATGTATTGTATACTTCAAAATAGCTAGAAAAAAGATTTTTTAATGTTCTCATCACTAAGATATGATATATGTGTAAGGCTATTAATATGCTAATTACCATGATCTGATCATTGCACAATTTATACATGTATTGAAACATCATGTTGTGCCTCATAAATATGTACAATTATTAATATTATGTGTCAATCATAAATTTAAAAAGAAATATATGGCCGGGCACAGTGGCTCACGCCTGTAATCCCAGCACTTTGGGAGGCTGATGCAGGTGAATTGCTTGAGCTCAGGAGTTTGAGATCAGCCTGGACAACATGGCAAAAACCCATCTCTACTAAAAATACAAAAAACTGGCCAGGCATGGTGGGGCGTGCCTGTGGTCCCAGCTACTCAGGAGGCTGAGGTGGGAGGATCACTTGAACCTGGCAGGTGGAGGTTACAATCAGCTGAGATCTGGCCACTGCACTCTAGCCTGGGCAACAGAGTAAGACCCCATCTCAAAATACATATATATATATATATATACACACACATATATATATATATATATATACACACACACACACATACATATACATATATATATATATAAAACAACTGAGAAAAAGCTTTTCTAAAGGTGAGTGAGCCAAAACAAACCAAAACAAATCAAACTTCACCAATGATTGTCAAGTGAAAGTTCAATTTACCCGTAACAAGAGTTTGTGGAGGTAAAAACGCAGCACACAAGATGTCATCATGGTGCTGTATACCTCCTTTCCATTCTTCAGGCTGGATGAAAAATTGATTGAAGTTTTGGGGTCGAAACACAGTAATAGCCCTAGCAAAAAGGATATAGAATTTAGCTGTGGATCTAAAATTGATGTAGACATTGAGTAGCCACTATCCACTTGAATGATGTGATCCAAGACTTTTAAAAGACTATGCTGCCCAAAATTTATCCCCACTTGACAACCATAATACTGAGTTTCCCACACTAAACATTTTTATTACCTCATTAAATTATCTGGTAAATTATAAATTTTTGACAATAGAAGGTTAATTATCCTTTCATAATCGTTAACAACAAACCATGTAACAATTTATCAGATTAATTATCCATCACCACGACCCTAAAGCAAAGTTTCCCCACATGGGTATTATGAAATCACCGAGTTTTATAGCAATAACAATTAAAAGAGGGGGCAGGCCTATGAACAAATAATGTTTTGTACTTCAAACAAAGTCAATAAGGGTTTTTTTTCATCAATTTTCTCAGGATATTTAGCACTCCTTGTGGCATTTTCAAGACTTACCTGATCACAGAATCCATTCTCTTGGAGTCTACAGCATCTTGAAGAACTACAATTTGTGGAACATACTTGGAAAATGCCACCCCAAAGAAGTAGGACATAGGACAGATACATTTTGAACAGAAAGAACAGTATTAGAGAGGTCAGTATCTTCTGGCACTGCTGATAAATTTGAGGACAGGACAGGATGGGCAAAGAATGAAATGCCTTGTGCCTGGTGGGGAAGGGAGGAGTGTAAAGATTCCATTGTTGGGGCATTAATACCACCCTGTTTTCACTTGATGATCCGAGCTCTGGCCATCAGCCTATACTAAGCCTCTTGTTCCTTCTAGAGCCATCTAGATCTCATGTGAGCATTTGCAACCAAAGTTATGGGGTCTTTCACCATCATTCTCTCTTCACCTTCCTGAAATCTTTTATTCCCACCACTCTAAAGGTCTCTTAGTTGTCCTACCAGTGTTACTCCTCAGCCTCAGAGTTTCCAGTATGTTCTGCTTCTCTTCCTGCCTCCTGATCTTTCTTTCCCCACTCTTTATTTTCTATTCCCTTCTTTCTCTCACCCTTTTTAACATGTGGTATATATACACAATGGAACATTCCTTATCTTCATTCCTCCCTTTCTCTCTATCCACTCAAACTGGCTTAGAGATTTCATATATCACCATGAGTTCCAATGTCACTGCTATACAAATGGCTCTTAAATTCTCTTCATTCATAATCTTTGCTAGAAATAGTTTCCATTTGCCAGTTGACAGTTCTGTATAATGCTTCCATCTGCAAAAGATCTCAACATGTCAAAAATCCAAATTTGACATCTTCCCTCCATACCAGCCCTCTGTCTGCAATTCCCAAATATGGTTAATAGACCAACATTCCAGCCTCTTTGGGTGTCTTTCTCTTCCCCAGTCAAATCAAATACTTAGATTATATCTCTGCAATATGTTACATATTCGTTTCTTACTATTTTACTTCAAACAGTCAATGACAGTTTCCTAGTTCTGTGCTAACTACCTCATGGTTGACTTATTGTAACAGCGTACTGACAAATTTTACTGCTTCTAGTCTACCCATCTCTGGCACATTCTTCATCTGGCTACTAGATTAATTATTCTACTCTGGGGCATTTTCATTTATTCTATAAGAATTTCTTATTTGCCATGTGGAAGTCACTTTGTTCATAGTGATGCAGGGTACAGAGCCGTCAGCATAAAATGACTAAAATTCAAGGTAAAATGTGGTAAGTGCTAAGGCATTACTGATCAACTGCCATGAAAGGCCAGCATAGAAATCAAAGAAGGCTGAGTTGAACACTGATATTTGAACTGGACCATAAAATATGGGTAGGATTTGCAAGATGAAAACACTCTGGATGGAGAAAACAACATGATAAAAGATAAGGCTAATGCCCCATTAGAAAGCCTTTGCTAGTTTTTTCGTTTAGTATATGATAAAATTCAAATGTGGAGCTCTGTTATTTAAGACCCAATAATACATAGATCTAATCTATGTTTTCAGAATTATTTCCCTCTATTCTTCTATCCTTGCTTTTCAGTTATATATGAATATCCAATTAAGTATTTGAGAGAGGCACTGGAAGCCATAGAGTAAATATGGTACACCTTCTTAAGTGTTAATTTTGCTCAAAAAGTTTAAGGAAGAATAATTTTCTATTAAAATAAAGATAGATGAATTAATGCAAGAGAACGCAAAGTTTGCCTGAATTTCAAAAAAAGAATTCAAAGTTTTAAATTTATTTTTTGCTTGCAGTAGCTGTTTTGAATTGTTAGGAGCTAAGTTTCTGAAGTACACCTTCTTGTCCAACCCAAACAATATTCTTAGTCTTCTCTAGGTACCTCTTATATTTCTGTCGGTTTTGTTTTCATTCATGGTATACTTTTTCATGCCTCTATGAATTTCTTTTTACACACAGACCCACATCTACCTATTCACACACCAACTCTCTAAGGCCCATCTTATTCAGGTAGAATTCCTTAATAACTAGGATTAAAAGAAATAGTTCCTCTTCTGACCTCTTAACATCATTCACATTTAACTTGTAACATTTAATGTTATACAGTTTCAGCTCCTTGGCTAAATTATAAATTCTGAAACCATGCATCTTGTCTTAATCTGTAACCGTACAGTAGCAAGCATAGTGACCTATACATATTGAGTGTTCAATAAATATCTGTCACATAAATGAAGAAAAAAATTATCTGCTTAAATGTCACCTACTCAGGCAAGCCTTCCCTGACCACCCTATCTGAAGACTCTCTGAGTCTCTCATCTCTCACTCTATTTCATTTTTTATAACACTTACTACTGTATGACACTGTGATCTATATTTACTTGTTTATGTTCTATCTCTTCTATTATAAAGTAAGTTCTAGAAGAGCAAATACTTTGTTTTTTTCCTTCTACAACAGCAGTGTCTAGAATAATACCTACCACGATAGGCATTTAACAAATATTTGCTGAATCAATGTGTGAATTATTCTATGTTTTAAATAATCAGATCCTTTGAATGGAGCAACAGGTTGCTGCAAATTCCATGAGACAGGTGAAAAACTGGTGCTTTCTCAAAAGCACCACCTCCTGGCTGGAGGCCAACAAACTCAGGACATTACAGCAACTCATGACAGAACAACCCTGCTCCAAGGAAGGAGAAAACAACAGCTAATCCCACTGCCTGTAACATCCTGGCTAACCAGTGGTCCTGAGTCTGTCCATGTGACAACTTCACTGTTAGCATAATGAGCATTCAAGAAAGCCAGCACACTAAATATATCTACAAGGACTCTCACAGAAGCTACTTCACTCTCCTGACACCTCCACCAGAGCAGGTGCTGGTACCTATGGCTGAAACACCTAAAGATGAATCACATCAGAGGACTCTTTGCAGACACTCCCCAGCACCAGCCCAAAGGCTGGTAGTCCCACTGGGTGACTAGACCCAGAAGAGCAGTAACAATCACTCCAGTCTGGCTCGTAGGAAGCCCCATCCCTAGGGGAAGGGGAAGGGACAGTGCACCACAGCAAGGGACCACCCCACCCCATGGGACAAAAGAGTCTGAACAGCAGCCCTTGAATTCCAGATTTTTTCACTGGAATAGTCTACCTGAATGAGAAGGAATCAGAAAAGTAATTCTGGTAATATGACAAATCAAGATTCTATAACACCCGCAAAAGACCACACTGGCTCCCCAGCAATGAATCCAAACCAAGAAGAAACCTCTGAATTGTCAAATAAACAATTCAGAAGGCAGATTATTAAGCTACTCCAGGATATACCAGAGAAAACTGAAAAGCAATGAAAAGAAATTTTTAAAAATACAGGATATGGATGAAAAAATGGTCCAGATAAATAGATATCAAAAAGAAAAAAACAATCACAACTTCTGAAAATGAAAGACACACTTAAAGATATAGAAAATGCACTGGAAAGTTTCAACAATAGAATCAAACAAGTAGAAGAAAGAACTTCAGAGCTCAAAGACAAGGATTTCAAATCAACCCAATCAGAAAAAGAAAAAATAATTTCTAAAAAAAATGAATAAAGACTCCAAGAAATTTGAGATTATATTAAATGGCCAAACCTAAGAATAATTAGTGTTCCTGAGGAAGAAGATAAATCTAAAAGTTTAGAAAATTCCTTAGAAGGAATAATTGAGGAAAACTTCCATGACCTTTCTAGAGATCCAAACATCCAAATACAAGAAGCTCAAAGAACACCTGGGAAATTCATCACAAAAAGATCATCGCCCAGGCACATAATCATCAGGTTATCTAAAGTCAAACAAAGGAAAGAATCTTGAGGGCTAAGAAGCAAAAGCATCAGCTAATCTATAAAGGAAAACCTCTCAGATTAACAGTAGATTTCTCAGCAGAAACCCTACAAGCCAGAAGGGACTGGGGTCCTATCTTTAGCCTCCTCAAACAAAGTAATTGCCAGCCAAGAATTTTGTATCCAGCAAAACTAAGCTTCATAAATGAAGGAGAAAGTCTTTTTCAGTCTTTCTGAGAGTTAACAACTACCAAGCCAGCACTACAATAAAGGCTAGAAGGAGTTCTAAATCTTGAAACAAAACCTCAAAATTCACCAAAGCAGAACCTCCTTAAAGCACAAATCTCACAGAGCCTATGAAACAATAACACAGTGGAAAAACAACAACAACAACAATGTATTCAGGCAAAAACTAGCACAATAAATAAAACAGTACCTCACGTCTCAATACTAACATTGAATGTAAAAGGCCTAAATGCTCTGCTTAAAGGATACAGAATGCCAGAATGGATAAAAATCCACCAGTCAAGTATCTGCTATCTGCAAGAGACTCACCTAACATATAAGGACTCATAAACTTAAGGTAAAGGGGTGGAAAAAGATATTCCATGCAAACAGACATGAAAAGCAAGCAGGAGTAGCTATTCTTATATCAGACAAAACAGACTCTGAGGCAACAACAGTTAAAAAAGACAAACAAGAGCTTGCAGTTAGCCAAGATCACACCACTGCACTCCACCCTGGGCAACAGAGTGTGACCCCATGTCAAAAAAAAAAGACAAACAAGAACATTATATGATGATTTAAAAAATCAGTCCAACAGGAAAATATCACAATCCTAAATACATATGCGCCCAACATGAGAGCTCCCAAATTTATGAAACAATTATTAGTAGACATAAGAAATGAGATAGATGGCAACACAGTAACTGGGGGACTTCAGTACTGCACTGACACGAGTAAACAGGTTGTCAAGACAGAAAGTCAACAAAGAAACAATCGAATTAAACTATACCCTAGAACAAATGGACTTAACAGATATTTACAGAACATCCTACCCAACAACTGCAGAATATACATCCTTTTCATCAGCACATGGAACATTCTCCAAGATACAACATAAAATAGGTGAAAAAACAAGTTTCAATAAATTTTAGAAAATTGAAGTTATATCAAGTACCCTCTCAAACTATAGTGGAATAAAATTGGAAATTAGCTCCAAAAGGAACCCTCAAAACTATACAAATACATGAAAATTAAGTAATCTGCTCCTCAATGATCTTTGGGTCAACAATGAAATCAAGATGGAACTTTAAAAATTCTTTGAACTGAACAATAATAGTGACACAACTTTTCAAAACCTCTGGGATACAGCAAAACTGGTGCTAGGGTAGAAAGTTCATAGCATTAAATACCTATATCAAAAAGTCTGAAAGAGCACAAATAGACAATATAAAGTCATACATCAAGGAACTAGAGAAACAAGAAAAAAACAAACCCAAACCCAGCAGAAGAAAAAATATAACAAGGATCACAGCAAAAATAAATGAAATGGAAACAACAACAAAAAAAATGCAAAAGATAAATGCAACATAAAGCTGGTTCTTTGAAAAGATAAACAAAATTGGTAGACCATTAGTGCAATTAACCAAGAATAGAAGAGAGAAGATCCATATAAGCTAAATTAGAAATGAAATGGGAGATATTACAACTGATACCACAGAAATATGAAAGATCATTCAAGGCAACTATGAACACCTTTATGCATACAAACTGGACAATCCAGAGGATTTGGATGCATTTCTGGAAATACACAATGCCCCTTGATTAAATCGGGAAGAAATAGAAACTCTGAACAGACCAATAACAAGTAGTGAGATTAAGTAATAAAAAAAAAATGCCAACAAAAAAAGTCCAGGACTGGATGGATTCATAGCTGAATTCTATCAGACATTCAAAGAATAATTGGTACCAATCTTACTGAAACTATTCCAAAAGATAGAGAAAGAGGATATCTTCCCTAAATCATTCTATGGAGCCAGTATCACCCTGATACCAAAAACAGGAAAGGACATAATAAAAAAAGAAAACTGCAGACCAATGACCCTGTTGAACATAGATGAGAAAATCCTGAACAAAATACTAGCCAACTAAATCCAACAGCATTTCAAAAAGATAATCCAACATGATCAAGTGGGTTTCATACCAGGGATGCAGAGATGGTTTAACACACACAAGTTAATAAATGTAATACATCACATAAACAGAATTAAAAATAAATATCATATGATTATCTCAATAGATGCAGAAAAGACATTTGACAAAATCCAGCATCACTTTATGATTAAAACCCTCAGCAAAATCAGCATAGAATGAACATACTTCAAAGTAATAAAAGCCATCTATGACAAACCCACAGCCAACATTATGTTGAATGGGGAAAAGTTGAAAGCATTAACCCTGAGAATTGAAACAAGACAAAAATGCCCACTTTCACCACGTCTATTCAACATAGTACTGGAAGTCCTACCAGAGCAATCAGACAAGAGAAAGAAATAAAAGGCATCCAAATCAGTAAAGAGGAAGTCAAACTGTTGCTGTTTCCCAATGATATGATTGTATACCTAGAAAACCCTGACTTCTCTAGAAAACCCTAATGACTCCTTCAAATGCTCCTAGATCAGATAAATGAATTCAGTAAAGCTTCAGAATACAAAATCAATATATAGAAATTGGTAAAACTGCTATACACCAACAACAACCAAGCTGAGAACCAAATCAAGAACTCAACCCCTTTTAAGACAGCTGCAAAAAAAAAAAGTAAATAAAGTATTTAGGAATATACCTGACCAAGGAGGTGAAAGATCTCTACAAGGAAAACTATAAAACACTGCTGAAAGAAATCATACCTGACACAAACAAATGGAAACACATCCCATGCTCATAGATGAATAGAATCAATATTGCAAAAATGATCTTACTTTCAAAAGCAACCACAAATTCAAGCAATTCCCATGAAAATACCATCATCATTCTTCACAGAATTAGAAAAAACAAACCTAAAATTCATATTGAACCTAAAAAGAGCCCACACAGCCAAAGTAATAGTAAGCAAAAAGAACAAATCTGGAAGCATCACATTACTTTATTTCAACCTATACTACAAGGCTATAGTTACCAAAACAGGATGTTACATAGAGCAGTGGGACATAGACCGGTGGGACATAGACATAAAAAGGCAAATAGACCAGAGGGACAAAATAGAGAACCCAGAAATAAAACCAAATACTTAAAGCCAACTAATCTTTGACAAAGCAAACAAAAGCATAAAGTGGGTAAAGGACATGCTATTCAACAAATGGTGCTAGGATAATTGGCAAGCCACATGTAGAATGAAGCTGGATCCTTGCCTCTTAACTTACACAAAAATCAATGCAAGATGGATCAAATACTTAAATCTAAGACCTGAAACCATAAAAATTCTAGAAGAACATGGGAAAAACTCTTGTAGACATTGACTTAGGCAAAGAGTTCATGACCAAGAACCCAAAATCAAATGCAACAAAACAAAAATAAATAAATAGATGGGACCTAATTAAACTAAGCAGCTTCTGCACAGCAAAAGACATTATCAGCAGAGTAAACAGACAATCCATAGAGTGGGAGAAAATCTTCGCAAACCATGCATTCAACAAAGAATTAATTTCCAGAATCTACAAGAACTCAAACAAATCAGCAAGAAAAAAAAATTACAAATAATCCCACCAAATATAGTCAAAGGACATAAATAGAAAATTTTTAAAAGAACATATACAAATGGCCAACAAACATATGAAAAAATGCTCAACATCACTCATTATCAGGGAAATGCAAATCAAAACAGCAATGAGATACCACCTTACTCCTGCAAGAATGGTCATAATCAAAAAGCAAAATATAATACATGTTGGCATGGACGTGGTGAAAAGGCAGCCCTTTTAAACTGCTGGTGGTAATGTAAACTAGAACAATACTATGGAAAACAGTATGGAAACTTCTTAAAGAACTAAAACTAGATATACCATTTGATCCAGCAATCCCACTATGGGGTATCTCCCCAGACAAAAAGAAGTCATTATATGAAAAAGACAGATGCACACGCATGTTTATAGCAGCACAATTCATAACTGCAAAAATATGGAACCAGCCCAAATGCCCGTCAATCAATAAGTGGATAAAGAAAATGTACCATATATATATTATATATTATATATTATATATATATATATGCACCCTGGAATACCACTGAAATAATGACATTCATAGCAACCAGGATGGAGTTAGAGACCATTATTCTAAGTGAAGTAACTCAGGAATGGAAAAATCAAACATTGTATGTTCTCACTTATAAGTGGAAGCTAAGCTATGAGGATACAAAGGCATGAGAATGATATAATGGACTTTGGGTACTTGCGGGGAAGGGTGGAAGGGGAGTGAGGGATAAAAGACTGCACATTGGGAACAGTGAACACTGCTTGTGTGATGGGTACACCAAAATCTCAGAAATCACCACTAAATAACTTTTCCTTGCAACCAAACACCACCTGTACCCCCAAAACTATTGAAATAAAAAATAAAAAGCAAATAAATAAATAATTGTAATATTAATATATTATTTTAATAATATTAAAAAGGCTTCACAAGATAAGGTAAGACAAATAAGGTAATTTGAAGTTCCGAAATTGCAGTTTAATCTCATAGTAACTTTATGTGTATGTATTTTTGATTTTCTCTTTTCCTACTGGTAAGTTTGGTTGAAAGATTACCCTTTGAGGAGGGAGACAGTGAGGTGGCAGTGGGAGAGAGAAGGTCAATCTTACATATTTTGCATTATCTCTCAGCCAAAATTCAACATCTAATGTCTTTTTGCCAAGATACTCATATTAAATTGACATACTAGGTATAGTCAGAGAATTAACACCAAAAGCACAAAATCTTTCTTATAACATGACATAAAAAATAGTCTTTCTGATATTTGACCTTGTGTGTCAAAATGTTGAAAAACTAGTTAGCTACCACTTTCCCCTCAAAACCTAACCTGAAACTTTCATTTGAAATGACAGTTGTCCTTAAAATAATTTGAGAATCTACACTGCAGCTCTTACTTTCTCTATTTCAAAGATAACTGTTTTTAAGTTTATACTTTTGCCAAGTAAAATTAAAGTTCAGAATGAGCCAATTTTAAGGCCATTTTAGGAGTCTGAGAGACTTGTTTTCCTGGCACTGAAGGAGTTTACTAGTTCCATTACACACTCCACATTTGCCACCCTGAGAGTATCACAACTACTGCTACTGAATGATTGTGTCATCTTGTGAAAATGAATCACGTCTCTAATTTAGAATTTAGATATGACAACCAATTATGTGAGAACAAAATTAGTTTACCTGTCAAGTGCAAAAAAAAAAAAAAAGAAAAATATTTAAAACCACCTTTTTTCTAGGATGAATGAGCTAGGCAAATAACTTTTTAACCCAAACTTATCATGTAAAAATTGTCATGGAGAGAACACAAGAATTCAATTAACTACTTGTTCCCTCAGAAGTTAATTGTTGTTAGTCCTATTGTCATGTCTTGTTAATGCCTGTTCTTCAATTCATTGCTTTTTAGGCTTAAAAAGGGTATCTCAAAGGCAGAGAATTAGTTTGATATAATTCAGCTTATTTTTAGTCTTTTTCCTATTTTCCCAAAATTTGTAGAGTCAAATTTTGAATACTAGAATAAATATAAATTGTATGTAAGAATTATTTGTGAATTTCAAAAATACCTGCCCCCTCTTTCCCTCCAATATGGCTATTCTAAAATAAATTGCAACATTGGAATATTCCATTCTGATTCTTATCCTAATAATGGAAACCAATTGAGTCATACAGAGTTATAGTTTCTTAGTAAGGCAATTATTAAGAATGTAATATCTTGTGATATATAAGTTTTATTTTTGAGTAACTTCAAATCTTTAGTCTCATTTCACTTAAAAATACTTTCAAAAATCAAATTATATCAATAGCTATTTATTGAGTTCCTACTTTCTACAGTGCTCTATGAAGGATGCTAATATAAATAAAATTGTCAGAATCATTTAAAATTATATGAAAGATTCTGTTTTTTTATGAATAGAAAAAAATCTTTTATGTGATAAATGGCAGCTACATACAACCCACATCTAACGTCATGTTTAATATTGAAAGATAGAATACTTCTCATTAAGATCATGACCAAGACAAAGATGTTCACTCTCACCAGCCCTATTTAACATTGTGCAAAAATCTTTACAATTTCAAAGAAGCAAGGAAAGGAAACAACAGATACTGAAATTGAAAAGGAAGAAATGAAACTGTCCCTATTCTAGGAGACAAGATTTTCTTTTTTTTTTTTTTTACATTTAAAATATTTATTTGCTTACCAAAAAACCCAAGATATAAAAGGCTAATTATAAAAAATGACACCAGTGAACAGTTTTTACCCAAGCTAACCAAAAACAGAATAATATTAACAGTGCAAAGAAATGAAAAGAAACTTCAGTTTACATTTTGAATTAAGATGTCAATGAAATAAAACAGCAAATTCATCAGCCTTGCTGTTCACTTACATGGCTTTAACATTTGAAGAAAATACAAAAAGCCTTTTCAACTTTGATAATCACTTTTGACTCTTTGGAGTTGACTGAGAAAGGAAACTACATCAAAACTTCCATATGTTAATACAGATTAAATGCATAATTTGAAAATGTGATAATTTTTTAGAGAACACACAAGCCAAGTTGTTACCATTCCATCTGAATACTTTGATAAAACAACTTACAGACTTACTTGTAGGGTCCATTTTCATTTCCAAGCATGGCATAAAATGTTTTAAATGGGACAGTTCTTTTGGTACATTTTACACAAAATTTCTTTCATAGATTTTTAGGCCTAAAATTAAAGAATTATACAGGATGACACTAAGGGGGCAATTTACTGAAATAACTGACATTCTCCACTGACAGCTCAAGACTGGATTCAGATTCCTCGGCACTTGTACAGTTTGATTTCTGTGAGCAATTAGATAATGGCACATAGATTATCATAGTCATGTTAGTTAAAAACATCTCTGCCTACATTTATGGTTTGACTTAAAATGAAGAAATATGAAGATATTTTCTTTTGTCACAAGGGGTAATCACTATATGAGTGGATTGCTGCAACTCTCCTGCAATGGGCAGAGATATTTCATCAATACCACCATCTCAACAGTTTGTCGCTAACTCTTAAGTAGTCTATTTTATTATAATGTATTAATATCAATCATATCTACACACTATAAAAATGTTAATTGAGCTCAGGTATGATACCAGCATCTTATCTTTACAGGCTCACAGGGAAAAGATGTAACTCAAGTTGCAATGATATTTATTTTATTTTATTTTAATTATTATTATACTTTAAGTTCCATGGTACATGTGCACAACGTGCAGGTTTGTTACATATGTATACATGTGCCATGTTGGTGTGCTGCACCCATTAACTCATCATTTACATTAGGTATATCTCCTAATGCTATCCCTCCCCTCTCCCTCCACCCCACAACAGGCCCCAGTGTGTGATGTTCCCCACCCTGTGTCCAAGTGTTCTCATTGTTCAATTCCCACCTATGAGTGAGAACATGCAGTGTTTGGTTTTCCGTCCTTGCAATAGTTTGCTCAGAATGATGGTTTCCAGCTTCATCCATGTACCTACAAAGGACATGAACTCATCCTTTTTTATGGCTGCATAATATTGCATGGTGTATATGTGCCACATTTTCTTAATCCAGTCTATCATTGATGGACATTTGGGTTGGTTCCAAGTCTTTGCTATTGTGAATAGTGCCACAATAAACATACGTGCGCATGTGTCTTTATAGCAGCATGATTTATAATCCACTGGGTATATGCCCAGTAATGGGATGGCTGGGTCAAATGGTATTTCTAGTTCTAGATCCTTGAGGAATCGCCACACTCTCTTCCACAATGGTTGAACTAGTTTACAGTCCCACCAACAGTGTAAAAGTGTTCCTATTTCTCCACATCCTCTCCAGCACCTGTTGTTTCCTGACTTTTTAACGATAGCCATTCTAACTGGTGTGAGATGGTATCTCATTGTGGTTTTGATTTGCATTTATCCGATGGACAGCAATGATGAGCATTTTTTCATGTGTCTGTTGGCTGCATAAATGTCTTCTTTTGAGAAGTGTCTATTCATATCCTTCACCCGCTTTTTCCTGGGGTTATTTGATTTTTTCTTGTAAATTTGTTTAAGTTCTTCGTAGATTCTGGATATTAGCCCTTTGTCAGATGGGTAGATTGTAAAAATTTTCTCCCATTCTGTAGGTTGCCTGTTCACTCTGATGGTAGTTTCTTTTGCTATGCAGAAGCTCTTTAGTTTAATTAGATCCCATTTGTCAATTTTGGCTTTTGTTGCCATTGCTTTTGGTGTTTTAGTCATGAAGTCCTTGCTCATGCCTATGTCCTGAATGGTATTGCCCAGGTTTTCTTCCAGGATGTTTACGGTTTTAGGTCTAACATTTAAGTCTTTAATCCATCTTGAATTAATTTTTGTATAAGGTGTAAGGAAGGGATCCAGTTTCAGCTTTCTACATATGGCTAGCCAGTTTTCCCAGCACCATTTATTAAATAGGAAATCCTTTCCCCATTTCATGTTTTTGTCAGGTTTGACAAAGATCAGATGGTTGTAGATGTGTGGTATTATTTCTGAGGGCTCTATTCTGTCCCATTGGTCTATATCTCTGTTTTGGTACCAGTACCATGCTGCTTTGGTTACTGTAGCCTTGTAGTATAGTTTGAAGTCAGGTAGTGTGATGCCTCCAGCTTTGTTCTTTTGGCTTAGGATTGTCTTGGCAATGCAGGCTCTTTTTTGGTTCCATATGAACTTTAAAGTAGTTTTTTCCAATTCTGTGAAGAAAGTCATTGGTAGCTTGCTGGGGAGGGCATTGAATCTGTAAATTACCTTGGGCAGTATGGCCATTTTCACAATATTGATTCTTCCTATCCATGAGCATGGAATGTTCTTCCATTTGTTTGTGTCCTCTTTTATTTTGTTGAGCAGTGGTTTGTAGTTCTCCTTGAAGAGGTCCTTCACATCCCTTGTAAGTTGGATTCCTAGGTATTTTATTCTCTTTGAAGCAATGGTGAATGGGAGTTCACTCAAAAGATTCTCTTTTTCTTATGTGTGCATGTCTAGACTTTTAAGGAGATAAAACCTTCATAAACAAATTTCTCACAAAAGAAAGCAATAAATATATACGGTGATGGATATGTTAATTAGTTTGATTTAATCATTTCAAGATGTATACAAATATCAAGACATCACCTTGTATACTGTAAATATATACAATTTTTATTTGTCAGTTATTCCTGGATAAAGCTAGAGGGAAAAACACAGAGATTTCTCCTTTATAGAAAAGAGAAAATTAAAATCAGGGGAACTAGGAGGTTTTTTTTTTTTTTTGAGAGAGAGAGAGAGAGAGAGCTTTAAATATATTATAAAATCATAGATTTTGGAGGCAGGATAAAATCTTAAATTCTTAATTTATTTAATTTTACTAGAACTATACATATTATATGCCTACTTTGAACAAATGCAAAGTTAACTGATTATCTAGTCATTTAATTTTAGCAACATAAATATGGCCACAGATTCAACCAGGTATTTGTGAATTGACTCTATGCCAATTCACAACTTAGTTTCTAAGTATATTTTGCTTAAAATAATGAGAAACACATTTCTATACTTCTAAATTTGGGACTTCTTTTTACTGACAGAAAAATTCTCTAGATATGAATGACTGTATTCCCAAATAGCTAACATGTGCTCTCTAGTTCATTTTGCTTAGACCCAAACATTCATATTTACCATATTCTGCCTTTTATGTATTGACCTGCCTGCCATCCATAAACAAGTGGATGCCCTTGAAACAGGAATCATGATTCTTTACATTCAGTATACTGTAGTTTCTAACTCAGGGCTTTCAACCTAGGTGCAATTAAAAAATATATATGGGAAGGAAAGGGGAAAAAAAGAGAGTAAGCTATATATCTGAGTTGTTGTTAAGTTGCTACCACATGTTTTTTTGTGTGTTTCTTCATATGTACTGATTCATTAGCTTCAATTAAAATGACAAAATATTCAATTAATCATTTAGTTTAAAATATATAATTGCTGTCTCATGGTGTGATGACTCCATTTGCAATTAGTCCTACCCAGGAGTGGTAGAAAGAGTATTGACTTTGGCACAGAATTCTAACTCAGCGGCCTACTAACTTTGTCACCTTGGCTGAGCTACCCAACTTCTTCAAGCTTCGGTAGCCTCCCTTGTAAAATAAGGTTGCTAATACTTAGATTTCTGATTCATTGTGAAGAGAGAATATAATAGATTTTCATATCTATGCTGCTTGCCTCTCACTAAGAATGTGACTGTGAGTAATTAATCTCTCTAATCCTTAGTTTCCCTGTCTATTCAACTAACATTTATTAAGTCACTCAACAAATATCACCAAGTATCTAGTAAGCTCCAGGAATGCACACATACACAAATATCCCTATTAAAGAAAATGTAAGAAACTAGAGAGCACAAAGACAAAATGGGGACATTTTGTCTCTATACTGAGAGTTAAGAGAAATGTCCTGGCAGAGAAGATATCTGAACAAGTCTTCAAATAGGAATAAATGTTAGCCAAATGAAAAAATTTTGAGAGGGATTTCTAGATAAGAGGAGAGAATAAAGCCATAAGGGTGTGAAACAGTACGGCTTGTATGTGAACACCCTAAGCAAGCTGCTATTTGATAGAGTTTAGAATATACAGAAAATGGGAGAAAATGAAACTAGAAAATAAAAGAATATGTCCAGGTCAGAGGGAGCTTAGACACTCTGAAAGGTTTTAAGCAAGCACATAACATAGACACTCTGAAAGGTTTTAAGCAAGGACATAACATAGAATTCATTGGAGAAAGAAATCCCTGTAGCTAAAGTGAGCAGAATCTATTTAAGAAGTGAGAGGTGGGCATTAGGAGGACAAAGCACAAGTTAGAAGGCTGTGGCATTCATCCAAGTGGAAATTATGCTCTGAATTATACTAATACTGTTGTACAATTTATAGGAGCAGGTTTAAGAAATGTTTAGGGCATAAAACAGATATGACTTAGTGACTTCTTGTTGTGTGTGAAGAGGGAGAACCAGAGTGGATGACTGGGTCTCTGGCAATTAATTGAAGTTCCAAACAAAAGAGAAAAAGCACGTTTTGGAAAGGAGATAAATAATTATTTCAGTTGAGAACATGTTGAATTTGAGATTGCAGTCAGACACGTACAGCAAGCAAATGGATAACTGAGCTTAGAGAGATAAGACCTGAAGACAGATATTTGAGTTATCTATAAAATATTGCCTACCTTCCGAGATGATGCTAAGGATTAAATTAGATAACGTGTATAAAGTGGCTAATGCTACACAGCACTGTAAATAAAATAAATCAGATGGCATATTTAAGTACTTTACTCAAAAATGTAATTACCATCCCATCCTGCACATAATTATCGAACCAATCTCTGTATTTGGATAAAATCTGAAGTAAAAGTTACAACTTAACCTAATGGACTCTAAAACAAGGTATTGAAGAAAGCTTAGTAAGACGACTGTCAATCTTCCAGTTATTTCTTCTCTAATCACTAAACTATTAAGGAGTTGGCTTAACGGTCCATCCTCCTGTAACTATAACTGAACAGTTTCCTGCCCTCTTGCCTCTTTTGTTAAATGCCTCCTGGTAAAAAGAATCCTGTCTTAGATCCTGTAAAATCTATCTTAACATAAAGCCTCTGATTTAGAATATATAATTTTTAAATCCACCAATATAAAGTGAAATAATATAACAGAATGTATTAATTCAATTTTCAATTTCAGCTAAGGTATCCAAGTCCTGACAACCTTGAGGATAACGGAAAACATGAAGGAAGATGGAAAAAGTGATAATTTTTCCTACTCTCATACCAGTTTTTCCAAAGCTTCTTCCCCAAATTATAGAAAGTACCACCCACCAACATAGATAGAATAATAGATGTTCCTTTAAACCACTTTTAGGTGACTCTACATCTAATCTTTCTAATTTTCCCTTGTAAGCAATCAAAAAAATCTTACAGTTGATGTTAATTCCTAACTATGGATATCTAAAAATAAATTAAGGAAATGGCATTGCCAAGTTTTGACTTGAATTGATTATTTTAAAAAATTCCTTTTTGTTATGTTTAAAACTTAAATTGGATCAGCTGGACACCACACATGGTAGAGAGCTAAACTTATTCATTGCCATTTTCTAAGTATAGCGATCATTAGATCATAGACTGTGGAGTGGTTGTGGGTTGATAATGGATCATGAATCCTTTCAGAGATGTGAAGTCTTGTCCTTCACAGATGAGGATGATTGAATTAGTTCTTAATATCAAGTAGAATAATCTGGCTATACTTACTTTCTTATTGTCAAATTACTCCTAAAAATAGGGCAGTGTGTGGCACTGTTTGCTGGTCTGCATTTGCACATTTGCATTAGAAAAAACTCTTCCCTGTGATTGATAAAAATCCCCAAATATATACTGCTGGTTTTCTAGGTATAAAATCTGATTTAATCCGAGCTTCAAAGCATTAAGGTCATAATTCTATAGTGAATAACGTTGGACGACTACCTATTAGAGCAATATTTTGTAAACTGATGAATTAATGGACAATATATTTTCAAAACATATCACACTTTAATTTTCCTACTGCTTCTACAGTGCCACAGAACTGTTTATGATCCTTAGTTCTGTCAGGAAAAAAAAAGGAAGGAAAAGTAATTTTCCTTCTAATGAAATGGAAGAAATGCTCCTCGAGAAGAGTAAGTGCCTTTCGAAAGACATTTTCTGCACTGATAGAAAGGAGGAGCTATCACAGGACTCAGTTGGCTATTTCCCTCTTGTGTTGCAATTGAAAATAAGTCATGAGAAAAGAAGTAATGAGTTTCCTTTACAGTTGAAGGAATGTAATTTACAAGTTAAGAATTGATTGACTATAAAATTTGGGAAACTTTTGGAACCTAGGAAGTGGTAATACATCCCCATCTGAAATGGTTAAAGAAAGAAAAATTTCCAAAGCCAGAAGAAAACCTAACAATTCTCAAAGCCACTCAAGCTATGCGGTCTTCTAATATTTTATTCACTAAGCATTCAGTCAATTCCAACTAGGGTATCACTCACCTAGGTCACCAGCAAGTTTTAATGACACAGAGTCAACCAAGATTTTTATGTTCTTTTTTCTTTTAGATTTTGATTAAAATAAAAACATTCTCCTTTTTACCTTCCTATAGTTTTCCATGAGGCATAATCATACCTCTCCCAGCCTGTAACCAGTATTTTCTTCTTAAGAATGAGGATTTGTGAAATATCCACAGCTCCATCTTGCCCAACATTTAGTGTATGGTGACAATATCCATTGAAGTCCCATATCTTTAAGAGAAAAATTAAAACCACTTTGAGACAGGAAGGTAAACTTTTTATATTCTGAACCAGGATTAATTCATTTAGGATATGTAATCATTAAAGAAAATCAACTCATCATTGAATTTTGCCACTATATTACTCTTGTAATATTGTGAAATATCTAGTTGGTCTTCATCCCCATTTCTCGGCACAATAACTTTTAAAATCCTCAGACTCTTTCTCTAATGATAAGATAGTATTTAGTATGCTAATGACATGACTCCAGGCTGGGGAGCCCTAAATAGCTTCAGGGTGGAGGCTGTTCTCAAGAAACGCCAAGGCATAATTAGAAGGTGGAAATTTCAGCCCCACCCTGAAACCCCTAGGGAGCAGAGAGAAGTTTAAAGTTGAGTTCATCTCCAGTGGTCAGTGATGGAGTCAATCAACCCTGTGTAATGGAGCCTCCATAAAAACCCAAAAGTATGGGAGTTGAAGAGATTCTAGACAGCTGAACATACGTGGAGGTTGCTGGTGGGTGAAAAGCCCACAATGGAAGGGCTGAGTCCACATGCCTTGCATTATGCATCTCTTCCATCTGTTCATCTGTATCCTTTGTAATATCATTTATAATTAATGAATACATGTAAGTCAAGTGTTTCCCTGAGTTCCGTAAGCCACTCTAGCAAATTAATCAGATCCAAGGAGAGGGTCACAAGAATGCTGATTTACAGCCCGTCAGTCAGAAGCACAAGTTACAACATATGCTTGTGACTGGCATCTAAAGGAAGAAGCAGACTTGTGGGACTGAGCCCTCAACCTAGAGGATCTGACTCTATCTCCAAGTAGACAGTGTCAGAATAGAATTGAATTGGAGGACACCCAACTGGTGTCCTCTGTAAAATCTACCACAGAATTGGTGTGTGGGAAAAATCCCTACACACATTTTGGTGGCCAGAGGTGTGTATTGCATTCAGTGTGATGGTAGGAGAAACTGATTTTTTTCCTATATAAAGTCACCCATCACTTAATAACAGGATACATTCTGAGAAATGCATCACTGGGTGATTTTATCATTGTGCCACTATCATACAGTGTACTTATACAAACCTAAATGATACAGTCTACTACACACCTAGACTATATGGTATAGCCTATTGCTCCTAGGCTACAAAACTGTACAGCATGTTACTGTACTGAATACTGTCAACAACTGTAACACAATGGTAAGTATTTGCGTATCTAAACATAGAAAAGGTACAGTAGAAATATAGCATTATAATCTTAAGGGACCACCATCGTATATGCAGTCTGTTGTTAACTGAAATGTTGCTAGACAGTTTATGACTCTACTTGTAACTCTATCAATCTATTCTAATAATAGTTCTTCAAATACTGTAAGTTAATATGTATACTAAATGGAGAGACAATAAAAAATCATGAAGAAAACGATTTTGGAATCTGTTGACATCCTGAAGTTTTCACTATGTCTAAATTTCTGCTTCCTTATCTGTGATACAGGAACTTTACTCCTCAGGGATGCTTGGAGGATTAAACAGCTGATACAGAACCTGAAACAGTCATCATTTACTAGATTTCTCATCCTCTACCGATAAAACCTCCTGTTGATGGTGGGTGCCAGACCCAGTCCTCAAGAGGGCACAAGCAGTTCTGGTTAACCTACTTAGACAGTGGAGTGAAAACTTAAGCCCAATAGGCATACTTTAAGAGAGAGCATCATTAGATTAGTAGCAGTTAAAACTAAGCCCTACTATGAAACCTTGTTGGCACATCATGCATAGAGGTCACATTGGTGCTATCAAAATTAAAATGCAGGCCAGGCACCGTGGCTCATGCCTGTAATTACAGCTTTTTGGGAGGCTGAGGCAGGCAGATCACTTGAGGTCAGGAGTTTGAGACCAGCCTGGCCAACATGGTGAAACCCTGTCTCCACTAAAATTACAAAAATTAGGCAGGGCCGGATTCAGTGGCTCATGGCTGTAATCCCAACACTTTGGGAGGCTGAGGCGGGCGGATCACAAGGTCAGGAGTTTGAGACCAGCCTGGCCAATATGGTGAAACCCCATCTCTACTAAAAATATAAAAATTAGCCAGGCATGGTGGCATGCACCTGTAGTCCCAGCTACTCGGGAGGCTGAAGCAGGAGAATAGCTTGAACCCAGAAGGTGGAGGTTGCAGTGAGCTGAGATCATGCCACTGCACTCTAGCCTGAGTGACAGAGTGAGACTCCATCTCAAACAAACAAACAAACAAAAAAATTAGCCGAGCATGGTGGTGCACACCTGTAACCACAGCTACTCGGAAGGCTAAGAGCGGAGAATCACTTGAACCTGAGAGGCAGCGGTTGCAGTGAGACAGGATCATCCCACTGCACTCCAGCCTGGGCAACAGAGCAAGACTCTGTCTCAAAAAATAATTATTATTATTAAAAGGCATATACCCTTTAAAAATTTAGCTTCTAGAAAGTCATCTCACAGATGATTAAAAATTGGCTTAAAATTTGGCTTAAAAATTCAGCTTCTAGAAAATCATCCACAGATATATTCATATATGTAAAATGACATATTTTCAAGCATATTCTTGCAGCATTGTTAAAAAGCAAAAGATTTGAATCAATGCAATTGCTCATTAGTAAGTAAGAAATTGAACAATCAGAATAAGGACTATCTATGCAGTAGCATATAATGTAGCCATAAAGAAGAATGAGTCATCTCCATTTTCCTAGACTCTGCCAAAACTCAACTGCCTATGGAAGCTTGAGCAAGTTGCCTTAACTCCTTGGGCTTCAGTTTCCCCTACTAAAAATACAAAAAATTAGCCGGGCGTGGTGGCAGGCGCCTGTAGTCCCAGCTACTCGGGAGGCTGAGGCAGGAGAATGGTGTGAACCTGGGAGGCAGAGCTTGCAGTGAGCTGAGATCGTGCCACTGCACTGCAGCCTGGGCAACAGAGCGAGACTCCGTCTCAAAAAAAAAAAAAAAATCAGGATAAGAGTACCAACCTTATAGATATACATATATGTGTGTGTGAAATGCTCAGAATAGTGCCTGGTTCATAGTGAGCATGGAATAAATGTTAGCTAACATTATTATTATTGTATCCATTTATATGAGTCAATATCCAAGACAGAAAAATGCAAATGCAGAACAGCATGTATAGTAGGCTGCCATCAAGAAACAAATGGCCAGGCACAGTGGCACGTGTTTGTAATCCCAGCTACTCAGGAGGAGGCTGAGGCAGTAGGATCATTTGAACCTAGGAGTTTGAAACCAACCCAGGAACACAGTGAGACCCTGTCTCTAAAAACAAACAAACAAGAATGATTGAACGAAAATAAACAAACAAATGGTGTTTGTGGCTAGAAAGGTGCACAAGAAAACAGTAACAGTGGTAGCCTCAGAGAAGGAGCTGGAAACAGGGATGATATATTTTCACTATATATCCATTTTATATTTCAAAAATTTTATTTTATGCACACATTAATTATTCAAAACATTAATTAATTTAAAAATAGACCGTTCAAAGCCATAATGAATGAGTTAATAATTTTAAGTCTTTGATTATGTAGGTACTGAATTTGGATTCTAAATTTATAAATTAGATTGGAAAATGTCATTCATTCTTGTTTCTTCATAGAATATGGTCAGAGAAACTCAACCCTGATTTATGTATCCTACACAGAAGTTGCCAGACTTCAGAATTCTGTTGTGCTCTTGTGATAAATATAAATGCACCTTCAGAAGCAGTTATTATACTACTAAATTCACATTAACTTCTAAGATGTCAACGCTTCAGTTGAGACTTGAGGTGCACACATACTCTTCATCCATGTCGCTATGTTTTCCTCTAAACATGGCTCTTACCAAGTCCACCTTAAATAATTTCCACAAGTAGGTATTGCAAAGATCTGAATGTCCCCAGGTCCGACTAAGTCCCTTAGCTGGGAATATTTTAGCAGAATCTACAAGGTAAGCCTTACCCTAGATTCTATACCCAGTTACTTTCCAAGATAGAGGTAAATAGAACCTAATCCGTTCACTCCAATGTTCAGTGCATTCTCACACCCCAGGACTGGTAAGCGAGATACTGGCTTTTACTATTTGCCTGAACCACTGTCTAATACTCCAGGTCCAGTTATTTCCCTTTTATTTCACCTCAATTATTGGGATTATGGTTGTCCTGGTACCTTCACACATCTTATCAGCTCTCCTGTAAACTAGATTACTTTACTTAAACCCAAATCTCCAGTCCATACCTTATTCCATTAACCTTCTCATAGGCCAACTTCTACTGATTTCCAGAGATTCCCTTTTCAACCCACAATAGCACCTTCCTCACACTAATGACTGCCAGCCTGTAATCTCCCTGAATACCTAAACTTCTAGGATGTTCTACCTACATATCCAGGTAGCTTTCCATCACTCTCCCCTACAGCTTAACTGAGTGTATCATACACTACACCATGGAAGGTAGTCTAATACCCAGTTATAGCAGGTTTGAGAAACATTCAAAGTTTATTCAGGGAATTACCTTCTATTGCCTCAAAATGGCACAAGCCATTTCCAATCAAAGACTCATTACTCTTGGGGCTGAGGGGGGCAGAGAAGATTCACTGGTGGGCATGACTTCAGATATCAAGTATCTAGTTTTTCATGAAAAGTTGACCATTTTGAAAAGGAAATTAGCACCTTCCTCCCAGAAGAAATATATGATAATTATAGAATAAGAAACTTAGAAATATAAAATCATGTAAGTTTAGAATGGATAAGATTATGATTATTCTTTCTACTGTCTGAATTTCACATAACAAAAATTAAGATTACAAAATAGGTTTACTTTTAAATATTTATTTCTTGAAAAATTTGCATCTATGCCATTTTTTAAAGTTTAGTTAAGTGTTCCTGATTTCTCATTTAATCAACTTTTAAAAAGAAAACTAGAGACATTAGCCAAAGCACATGAAATTATCGAGGCATCGTATTCCCCAAAGTAGTCCCTATTGACTACACTGAAAAGGGGGCTTTCTGAAATGAGTAAGCCAAGTTATATTTTCATTCTAAATAATTTATTCAGAAAAATTATTTATTCATTTTTCCACAGAGGTTTATTTTCCTAGCAGCTTTATTAGATGGTTGGAGTTATTTCACTCTTACCATGTCTCATTTCTCTTCTTGCAATACCAAAAAGGCAAAAAATGAGAATATCTATAGCCATGTCTTCTGGCATAGTATTTTAGTCTCCTCATATCTGGATAGAAAAGCATCATTGTGTTCGCACCTTTACAGTCCCATCTGTGCTGCCAGTCAAAAGCCGAGTCTCATTTGCATCAAGGGCCATAGTGCTGATTTCTGCGTTGCCGTGGCAACCAGTAAACTGTTTGATTTTCTGCCCAGTGTCTATCATCCAGAAGGAAACAGTAGACCCTGTATCAGAGCTGATTACCTAAGAGAAAATAACATTTTAAAGAAATTAAATATAGTCTCAGAATCAACCATTTATATTTCAATAAACATATCCAGCCTGTGCATTTCTAGTCCAAAGATCCCCCAACAGTCAGAGACATTTTTGTAATGGACTTTCTTTCTATTAAGCTGATAACATTTCAATTTTGACTAGACCTGAGGTAATGAAGTCGTGATCCTCTTTATCAGAGAAGATAGTAATCTGCTTTCCTTACTCACCATTCAGCTTTAGTGTCTAGAGGCCATTCCGAAATCAAATTCTGAAAATAAACTTACGAATCTTTCCCATTTAGATGAGAAAGCTGATTTTACTAGTCATGGTGCTCTGACACTATTTACTATATGAAAAGAAACATTTTATAATATAGCAGCTTTCATTTAGCATTCAGAAAAGAAGCTCTACCAGCCATTATGGAAAATGTTAATTTCAACAAATTACTAGAGCTGTGCTTTTAATGCCATTAGTCCTTTGCTTTCTTTTTTCCCAAACTACTGTGTATATTTTTATAGCTAAACACAATTATTGATAGATTACTAAAAAAAAAAAAAAAGAGCACAGGTTAAATATAAATCTACATGCACACTTTGAAAGGAAGGCAACAAGACAAATGCTAGAAGGGAAAGGATTATACACAGCAGTTCAAAAATGAGAAATTTTATAGTGGCAAGTGGACTGCTAATTTCAGCTCAAGATATTTAAGAGATTCATAGGTTAAAACCACCTAGCTAATATGACT
The DNA here is from genome assembly GCF_000001405.40 of Homo sapiens. Taxonomy (NCBI): domain Eukaryota; kingdom Metazoa; phylum Chordata; class Mammalia; order Primates; family Hominidae; genus Homo; species Homo sapiens. The sequence goes on from NC_000003.12 coordinate 167,560,986, forward strand.
TTGGAAACCAAAATAATGAAAGAAAAATAATTACATAAATGCATAGCTAGGAAGTTCTCTAAAGCAATATGTAGATTTTAAGGAAGCTTAAAGCATTTCTTTTTCTGTTTAGGTATTGATTACCATTGTATAAATGTAAATGTATTAACAATATGTTAAATTTAAATGCTGCTTTTCATAATCAAATGGGTTGAAGTTTATCAAATGTATATTCAATACTGGCCATCATGCATACATTCATTCATTCATTCTACAGCCACTTGCATAACATCCAGGCTCCATAACGGCAATGGAACTTCACTGGCAAAATCCTGCTCTCAAGGAGTCTATTGTCTATGGTCTACACCTGTACATTAAAACCACCTGGGGAACTTTAAAAAGCATCACTGCATACCAGATCAGAAACTCTGATTCAATTGGCCAAGGAAATGGATCTTTAAAGAGCATCACAGGTGATTTAAATTTACAGCCTGACCTATGACCTGCTGGTCTAGATGAAGAAACAGACAAGAAACAGATAAATGCTAAAAAATGTTTCAAGTTTAGAGGAATCACCTTTGGGTACTGTGGAAGTACAGAGTGGAAAACCTGAAATCCACTTGCTGGAGTGGGGGATTGGGTTAGGGAGTGGAGGAGCAAGGGGCAAGTCAGGATTCACAAAGGAGGTGATAACTGGTCTGGAATTGAAGATGGAGACATGTATTTATTATGAGGTGTACCCCAAGCCCTTTCACTTGTTATCTCATTTGATCTTTATGAAAACTCTGTGAAATAATGTTACCAACATTATTTTACCAACGACAAAATTGAGTTTGTAATCAGCTAATAATGTCCCCAAACTTACAGGTTTGAATCCTTGACATAGACAGCCACATCATAAGGTCTTCCTCTATTCCTGCACAGCATTCCAGACAACTAACAGTTCACTTAGAAAAGTACTTGGAGAATATTCCAAGAATGAGAAACAATACAAAGTTTAATGAGCCTGAGCGCAGAGTATTTGAAGGGACAAATATGGTGGGATATCAAATGAGTAGGCAAGCTGAAGATGGAATTTTAGAAATCTCTGGTAAGCAGCTCCAAAGAATATTGAGTAATTATAAAGTCAGTTTTACTGGGAGAGGGCCCACAGCTTTCATCAATTATCATTGGGGGCCAATGATTAATCCAAAAGGCTAAAAACATTATTATTGTTCTTAATAAGGAAAAGAGTAATACAGTGTTTTTTGTCAGTTGGCTTGTAAAGATACTTCTTGCAGCAATGTGGAGAACAAACTGGGGTTTTGGGAGGACCATTTGGAGGCTTCAGACTAGTCCAGGTAAGAGATTCTCAACTAACAAAATAGTTCTGGGGGTACAAAGGAGGGGAGCAACTGAAAGACAGGGCCATGATTTAGCAACATGTGTATCTCAACAAAGAACTGATAATGAGCATGTGATCCTTTTAGCCCTTTTTTTCCTGAAATTACAACTTCAATGAGACAATTTCTTAAATGAAGTAAACCTGTATTTATGCTACACATTTTCTCTCAGTGAAATCAAAATTACCTTAAATATTGAATTACCATTGTGAAACTACTGTGTAATTTCTAAGACCAAATGATCTGGATCTTTGAAATAATGTAACAACACATTAATTAGCATTCCATGTCATTAACTGTGTTTCTATTTGATTGTGTTTGTGCACTATACATGGTTGTTAGGAGCACTGGATCTGGAGTCAGGATGCCTAAGTTTGAATGTCAGCTGCCTCACTAACTATTGTTCTACCTCGGACATTAAGGGCAAGCACATTACTTACTTTTATGCTTCAACTTCCTCATCTGTAAACCAGAAATATTCATAGTAACTACTTCAAACCATTGTTACGATGTTTAAACAAACTAATATTTTTAAAGCATTTATCACAGTGCATGGCATAGCCATAAATCATAAAAGTTAGGTAGTGTTACTATTCCATCTAAGCTTCATTTGCCTGACCTCTTACTTAGGCTTGTATCACTGTGCATATCCAAATCAATTTAAGAAAAATAGTATCTTGCTTTCCTCCAACTATGACAGTGAATGTAGACAATTAAATTTTAGAAACCTGATTTTAGGGCCGGGCGCGGTGGCTCACGCCTGTAATTGCAGCACTTTGGAAGGCCGAGGCGGGCAGATCACGAAGTCAGGAGATAGCGACCACGGTGAAACCCCGTCTCTACTAAAAATACAAAAAATTAGCCAGGCGTGGTGGCGGGTGCCTGTAGTCCCAGCTACTCAGGAGGCTGAGGCAGGAGAAGGGCGTGAACCCGGGAGGCGGAGCTTGCAGTGAGCCAAGATAGCGCCACCGCACTCCAGCCTGGGCTACAGAGCGAGATTCTGAATCAAAAAAAAAAAAAAAAAAAAAAAAGAAAGAAACCTGATTTTAGATGCACATTGAAATTTTGAATTATACTTGTGAATTTCTCACAGAAGTGCTTAGGAAGTTGGATTACATTCATTACAGATAAAATCATGAAAGTGTAATTTTCCAAGCTTGTGTGAAAATTTTGATAGTAGTCTTTTAAGAAAAGGTTAAAGATTGTGCAGGATTTTATTATTTCTATTAAAAAACATTTTTGGATTGATTGATTTGTTTGTTTTTATTATTTTAAATTGACGCATAATAACTACATAATTATGGGGTACCGTGTGATATTTCAATACACATACACGATGTATAATGATCAAACAGGGTAATTAGCATATCCATCACCTTAAACATGTATTATTTCTTTATGTTGAAACATTCAAAATCCACTCTTCTAGCTATCTGAAAATACACAAGAAGTTGTTGTTAACTGTAGTCACCATATAGTGCTATAGAACACTAGAACTTATTCTTCTGATCTAGCTGTACTAAAAAGCATTTTCTGAGCAGCTATTATATGTTAGCCATTTCAGTACCAAAAGATGATACTTTTTATTTCCCTAACAGAAATAAAAGAGCCATGTTCAAAGAAAAGACTTGATTACCTGTTCAGGGTGGGCATCACCCACATTACAAAGCATCTAATCATTCACCACTGTTATCTAACGTAGATACTCAATGAGGAATTAGTAATGTTCACTTTTTGCCATTTTGTACTCTTTCCCCTGCCCACCTGACTGAGCCCCAACATACTATTCATCAGTTTTTGTCACCTTTCTCTGCTTATTTAACAATTTCTCGTGAAATCTAAGTCAGTCATGACAACAGCATATAGCTAGTCTGATTTCATTTTATGGCAGTCGGCCTCACGGTGCAGTTTGCAGGAAAACAATGTGTTGAAACTGACTATGTCTCAAACATCCAACCAGTATTAGCCAGAATCTACTCTCACTATGACAATATTGGAATACAAGAATAACAATATAGGGGAAAGGGCGTTCAAAGTTTAGTGAAAGAGGAGTGCATTTAACATTACTTGGCAGATGAAGAAAATGGATTCACTACACGACAATGGAACTATTTTTGGCAAGTTGTTTTCATCAGCAATAAAGCCCAGGAATAAGTCTTGGCGTCACATGTCTATGCCACCTTTTAATGATACCAAATCTCTTTAAGTTTGCAGTTTATTTCTGATTATCTCTTATCAGGCTAGACTTCAGCTGATGAGGACGGGGCCCTGACAGTCTGCAGAGTGAAAATGGTGCTAACAACCACACTCCAGGACACATGGGCCTCCTCAGTAGATCGTTGTTCTGATGAGAACAGTCTCTCTCTCATGTGCTTCAGTTAATAACTGTTTAGGAATATGTGTCTCCTTTTTGTTTCTCTCATCTGAAGCTGTCAGAGCTAATCAGACAATTCTAAGACATGTGAGGCTGTATTCATGTCACCTAATTGTCTTATTGCTATTCCAATAACAGTAGGCACTTTAGTTGTCTTTTATGTGCATTTCAAGTCCTGGGTCTAAGAAAAAAAAAACAGGAATCAAAAATTACAGCAGCAAATGCCACGAGCTAACAGAGGGTTGAGATACTTGATTCCATTGCTGTTTATAATTTTTTTTTGTTAGTGTTGTTTATGGTCCTATAATATAAAATAGGTTACTTCCTTTATTTCCATTTTGTAGAAAATCTCTAGAAGTTACATTTCAGTGAATAGGGAGGTGAAGAGAATGATGATATCTCAGAGTACAAGTACAAATTATTCAAATATTTTAGGGCAGCCATTCTTTAGTTATAAACCTTGCTTAGTGGATTTTTTCTCTTCTTCAATTAATTGGTAATTTGCTCTTTCAAATTCATTATTTGAATGTACTGAATACCTGTAATATGCAAGGCCCTAGATCTAGACACTGGTGATCCAGCAGTGAATAAGTTCTGCTCTTGCATTTTGTCCAGGGAGAGAGGCAACAAGATCAGAAAAAAAAAAAAGCATATCTATCTACACACACACACACACACACACACACACACACTTATATGTAAAATGCATGTGTATATATGTAATATAGTGTGTGTGTGTATATATATATATGATGTTTGGTGGTAACAAAGGTTATGGAGGAAAATATAGCTAAGAAGGAAGCAGAGGGCTTTTGTCATAGGTGCAAAATTGGGGAATCTGGGAAGGTCTCCCTGAGGAATCATTTGTAGAGACATAACTGAGATGAAGAAGTAAGCCAACCAGATACTTGGGTGAAAAGAGCTGCAAACAAAGGAAACAGCAGTGCAAAGGCCCTGAGGCACAGTGTCCTTGGCACATTCAAGGAATAGCAAGGAAGCCAGCAAGGCTTAAGCAGTGTGAGGGAAGGGAGGAGCCATTGCCTGCGGTCAGTGCACAGAGATTCAAAACAATCCAAAACTACCAAACTCCCATAAGAACTAGGGAACAAATTTCAAAAGTAGAAAAAAAAAACTTTCCTCTTTTTCACTAATATTAATTAGCATTTACCCTTGCTTTATTTCATGTATCTTTATATATAAGATCATTTGTTCTTAACAAAAATTCTACAAGGGATGTATTATAATTAGTATTTTATAGATAAGAAAGCTGAAACTTAGAGGAATTGAATCACCCACTCTGTGTAAAGTACTGAGAACTCTGCCTGACTCTGAAACTCTACCAATTCTCTTATTCTAAAAATCTACTTCTAAAAACAGTTGAGACTGTGATGATGAAAGAGGCTGAGGAAATGGTCCTCTCCTACGCTGGTTTAGTGTAGCTTTATGGAGAGCATTTGGCAATATTCGTCAAGATTACAGATGTAAATATTCTCTGCCCCAATAATTCTAACTATAGGAATTTATCCTATAGATATTTTCTCATCAGTGCAGAGTTCTAAGGACAAGGTGAAAAACTGCTACATTATTTGTAACAAAAACTGCTGGAACCAACCTAAATGCTCAAAGTTTGGAATATGCATGCAATGAAATACTATGCATCTGTGAAAATGGACAAGGTTACTCTTTAGGTAATGAGATAAAACTATCTTTAGGATGTATTGTTACGTATAAAAGCAATGTACAAAGCAGTTCGTACATATAAAATGCTCTCATTTTTGTAAAAAAAGCCTATAAAATAATATATATTCTTAAATATTGAGTTATTAAATATTACATATCTATTTCAAAGAATAAGTTTACGCTGCAACAACATGGGGGTTAGAGATGCCTACCTGCCACACAGTTAAAAATTCATGTATAATGTCGATCCCAAAAAAACTTAAGTACTCATATTCTACCGTTGACCAGAAGCCTTACTGATAACATAAACAGTTGATTAACACACATTTTGTATGTAAGAGTTACTACATACTGTATTCTTACAACAAAGTAAGCTAGAGAAAAGAAAATGTTATTAAGAAAATTATAAGAAAGAGAAAATATACTTACTATTTATTGAGTGGAAGTCAATTATCATAAGGGTCTTCATTCGTGTCGTCTTCACATTGAGAAGGCTGAGGAGGAGGAAAAGAAAGGGTTGGACTTACTGTCTCGGGGTGACAGAGACCAAAGAGGTGGAGGAGGTGGAAAGGGAGGCAGGAGGTCAGGAGAGGTGGGCACACTTGGTGTAACTTCACAGAAATATATTGTAATTTCTGTCGGACTTTTTGCTCTTTCTTTTCTCTAAAAATGTTTCCAAACAGTACCAATCCCTCTTCCAATATTTGCTTTAGTTTCAGTGCCCATAGTGTAGAAAGGTCTATGCCATAAAATAAGTCAAAAGCAGTCTTGAATAATCAGAACGCTTCTGCCAGATTGTCTAATGTCCATTATTGTCTAACGTCCCTTTGTTTTCTGGCACTGCTTCTTCTATGTCTTCTTTCTCAGTCACCTGTTTGAAAGCACTCATCTTCATCAAGTCATCTTCTGTTCATTCCTCTGATTTAGTGTTTATCACATCTTGAATTTCCCCAAAATTCATATCTTGAAACCCTTCACCTCTTCCCCATTCCCACCTTTTTTGCCATGTTCACAGTCTCTTTCATGATTTCCTTGATTGGCTCTGTTGTAGATCCTGTGAAGTCATGTGCAACACGTGGACACAGTTTTCTTCAGCAGGAATTTATTGTTTCAGGTTTGAGGGCTCTCATGACTTTTTCTATAACAATGATGGCATCTTCAATGGTGTGAGCCTTCCAGGCTTTCATGACGTTCTCTCTACTCTGATTCTTTTCCATAGCATTGACGGTCCTTTTCATAAAGTACCAGTACCATGTGTAATGAGCCTTAAAGGCCCTCATGACCCCCCTTGTCTAGAGGCTAATTTAAAGATGTCGTGTTTGGGGGCAAGTAGATCACTTTGATGCCTTTAGTCTTGAAATCATAAGATTCTGTGGGGCCAGGGGCATTGTCTAATATCAAAAGAACTTTAAAAAGCAGTCTCTTACTGGTAAGGTGCTTCCTGACTTCAAGGACAAAGTATTGAAGGAACCAGTTCAGAAAAAAACATTCTCATTGTCCAGGCCTTCATGTTGTACAGCCAAAAGAATAGCAGCTGATGTTTGTCTTTTCCATTTCAGGCTCAGAGGTTAGCAGCTTTATAGACAAGTGCTGTCCTGATCATAAACCTGGCTGCATTTGCACAAAATAACAGAGTTGGTCTATCCCTTCCTGCCTTAAATCCTGATGCTTGCTTCTCTTCTTTATTAATAAACATCCTTTGTGGCGTTTTTCTTTTCAGAACAAAGGCATTTTCATCTGCTTAAAAAATTTGTTCAGGCAGCAATCCTTTCTTCTCAATTATTTCCTTAATTGTGTCTGGGAACTCATTTGCAGCTTCTTGATTGGCAGAATCTGCTCCTCCTGTTATTTTGGTATTTTTTGTACCAAATTATTTTCTAAAGTTATCAAACTATCCTTTGCTGGCATTAAATTCCCCAGCTTTAGATATTTCACCTTTCTTTTGCTTTAAATTATTGTATAATAACTGCTCATTCTCTAATCATATTAGTCTATAGGTATGCCTTTCTTATAGCAACCTGCACCCACATAAGACCTGTATTTTCAATACGAGGTAAAAAGGTATTTCACAAAAAAAGTATATGGTTTTTTCACCTGCTGGTGTAACTACGGCAGTGGTTTCATTAATTTCTTTTTCTTTTTTTATGGTGGTCCTAATGCTGGATTCATTTATATTGAAATGGCAAGCAACCACAGCTGCAGACCTCAACCTATGGTACATATCAAGCAAATCAACTTTTTCTTGCAATGCCATGAGTTTTCTCTGCTTCTTGGTAGTACTCACAGCATCCCTAGTGGCACTTCTTATGAGTTCCATGATATTATTCAAAGTTTATGGTACTGCAATAAACAAGATAAGAAATATGCAAGCAGCTCAAGAGATCACATTTTACTGAGATGGGTAATTTAATGTAGAGAGCAACTGCTCATTTGGAGATAAGTATCACATGGCATTTTAAACAAATGCAACACTTGAGCTCACCACAACAGCAACAGGGGGTGGCTATGAAATCATTGCAGCAGTGCAGTATGTACTACAGTTAATTTTTTTTTTTTTTTGAGACAAGAGTCTTGCTCTGTCGCCCAGGTTGGAGTGCGGTGGTGCTATCTTAGCTCACTGTAACCTCTGGCTCCCAGGTTCAAGCAATTCTCTGCCTCCGCCTCCTGAGTAGCTGGGATTACAGGCACCCACCACCACACCTGGCTAATTTTTTCGTATTTTTAGTAGAGATGGGGTTTTACCATGTTGGCCAGGCTGGTCTTGAACTCCTGACCTCGTGATCCGCCCTCCTTGGCCTCCCAAAGTGCTGGGATTACAGGCATGAGCCACTGCACCCAGCCTGTATTACAGTTAATTTTACACAGTTATGATTTAATACTGTATCTTTTTGTTTACATTTCTCTTGACTGCAAGTCTGTGTTTGAATACGTAAGTTTTGATACATTTTAACTTTTTGTAATAGATTTGTGTATATTTTATTGTACTAACTAATAAAATAGGCTAGTACATACGTATCTTTTATGCATTCATTCTATGTATAATATTTTCTTGATTTTTTTATATTTCTGGGCAATGTATCTGTATTTTTTTAAATTGTTGCAAATATCCAAAAAAAGTTCCAATATATTCATTTTTAAAAATCCATGTGGAGCTGGGCACAGTGCCTATGCCTGTAATCCCAGCTACTCAGGAAGCTGAGGCAGGACAGTCACCTGAGGCCAGGAGTTCAAGGCTGCAGCGAGCCATGATCATGCCACTACACTCCAGCCTGGACACAGCAAAAAAAAAAAAAAAAATCAGATACAGTGCCCCCTCGCAGTTCAAACCAGTGATGTTGAAGGATCAACTGTCTATATAAAGAAAAATATATATTCACTTGTTTAAGAGTAGAATAGCCCTTAAACATTGTGGAAGTCGTAAAACTCGTTGTCTACAGGACAGGAAACTGAGTAGGCAGTGGCATGAAGATAAGAGAAAATATATGCCACCTATCTTTTTGTTGTTTTGAATTTTTCAACATGTAAACACGTTATTTCTTCCAAACTAATCACATTAAATAAATGTGTATCTGTTCGTACATGTATGTGTGCATGTACATGTATGTTTTAGTATAACCTCTAAAACTAGTAACTTCTTATGTTTCCATCAAGTGACTACAGCACACAGCCTCAGAACTGACATATAACCAATTACAGCTTTAAGCTAGCCAAAAAAAAAAAAATCACAACTGTATTAACAGAATGGATGTCACTTGGTGCCCAGCAAAGAGGCAGGAAAGGAGAAAATTTTCATTGTGTAAATCTGGTTCTGTTCAAAAAAGAAACTCATGGATTTTGCACTAAATGTAAGCCCTGAAAAGGTAGACTGTCTTGTACGATGGAGATAAATTTCCCTCAAGCCTGTCCTCTTTTCTCCAATTTTACAATTACCAAGGGAACCACCAATTGAATTGTTTGGATTCCCAAATACCCTCAATTTCCAAAAAATTATGTGCAGAAAAGAGGACAAAAGATATGCTATCAAGAGAAAATTATACCTCATCCCTCATTTTTTAAATAATGGAAGGCCACATGTTTATTATAAATTTTGGATATGCATATGTATACATAGAGCTGTTTGGACTGCAATAATCTAAATTAAGATAAGGTAACTATAAATTGTAAATAAGGTTAAGGGTGGAAAAGTTTACTATAAAATTTTGAATATGATGGCATAGATAATAACTTTGTACAGATGCTATACATGTATACATAATGGAATTTTTTAACAGGAAAGTTTTTTAGTGTTTACCTTTGGTATATTTTTATATTGTGTCACAGCAAAGAAACAAAAAGCTGCAATTAAATGATGATAAGGCCGGATGCAGTGGCTCACGCCTGCAATCCCAGCACTTTGGGAAGCCAAGGCAGGTGGATCACGAGGTCAGGAGTTCGAGACCAGCCTGACCAACATGGTGAAACCATGTCTCTACTAAAAACGTGAAAAGTAGCCGGGCATGGTGGCGCACACCTGTAATCCCAGCTACTCAGGAGGTTGAGGTAGGAACCCAGGAGGCGGAGGTTGCGGTGAGCCGAGATAGCACCACTTCACTCTAGCTTGGGCGACAGAGAGAGACTCCATCTCAAAAAAAAAAAAAAAAAGATGGTAAATATTTGCTTGTCAGTGAATGTTGAAGCAACCAAAGGTAAGGGCACCACTCTATGGCTGTGACCTGGACCAGCCCCCATTTTTAATAAATAATTTGGCAGTTTGTAGATAGTATAATAATCAAGCCTCAAGAAACAGCATCACTCCAGATAAAGTGAAGAGGGTCTAGTATTCAAATTTGCAAAGCCAGCATGCTTCTGGATTATGAAAAACCCCACAGAGAATCTCAGGAGATCTCTTGGAATAAGCCAGGTGAGCACTGTCTGACCTATCTCTTCATGTAACCAAGTATGTGATTAATATATTAGAGGTTAGAAGCAGGATAAAAAAGTAAGATTCTAGGGGGCAATTTATTTATCAAATTATCTGATATTGCATATCCTTTAGCCTAGAAACTTACTCCTAAGAATTTACCTTGAAGAGATATAGTCATAAATATAAATGTATTTATCTACAAAAAAGTCATAATAGTGAAGTCTACATCAAGGGAAATGGATCAGTAAATTACGATACATATATAGAATGGGCTACTATGCTGCCTTTTAAAAATGATAAAGTAGTTCTACATTTAGCCTCAAGGAAATATATTCTAACATATTATTGAATAGAAAAGTATGTTACAGAGCCTTGTTTACGTAAAATAGTCTATGCAGAGAAAGATGTTTAGAATATGTTGATATCAGCAATAGTTTTGTATTTGAGCTTTACTGCATTGCTTTAATTTCTTACAATAATCATGTAACATTTTGCATGCAATTACCAAAAAAAGTTATTTTGATAAGAAAAATTGTAAATACCATTTACTCTATTAAAATTTGATGACACCTAAATGTCTACCTTGATTATAAATGTGTCCAAGGTTCCCAACAAACTGAAACATTATCTATTTTACAAAAATACATCAACCTACATCATTAGGATGAGAATCATAGTGATAACACAAGTATATTATCTATTCTAGTTTCTATGTCTAGAAATACATGTTTTAAAGTTTCCTAAATTCATGAGTGTTCTTTTGTTTTCTTGTAAAAAGCTTCATTTAAGAACTAAGTGCAAAGATGGTTCATTAGATCTGCCTCCAGGATATTGGATTGCTTTAATTCTTTCAAAATTGTACATTCCAGGGGACTCCTTCATCCAGTCCCAACTTGCTCTGCTGCTGGCTGTGAGGGCAAACTTTGCCAGGTGAAATAAAGTATATGATTTCCTTTAAAAGGCTTTGCATGGCTTAACATCACTTTCCCAGACTAGGATTCAAGGGTATCAAAAGACAGGAAGATAAATAAAAGTCACGGAAATGTTCCAAGCTGCTTTTATATAGGAATTATATTGGGTCCCCACTGAAGTCCAAATACAAGGAAATAATAAAGTGTAGGCAACATGTTGAAATAACAACACAAGGGAAGGTTTTCATTAAATTCAAGCAAAGGGAAAATGTTCAAGAAAGACACCAAGCCAAATAACCAAAGATCAAGAGACCATGGGCTGAAAAAGCATTGCTTTCTGTTACACTTGGGATGAAAAATGGCAATAATTTATTATGTCTAGTAGTCGAGCATTCATTTTGTGCTCAGAACAGTGTTAGGAGCTGTGGGAAAATACAAAAATGGAACAAAAGGATCTTCCCCTCACACCAAAAACATAGGAAGAGAGAGAAATAAGTTTAGTTAAGTGTTTTACTGGGAAAACAACTAAAAAATGCGACCAATGCTCAGGAAGAGGAGAAGTAAGTGTGGGTTGAGATGGCTCTGGAGACTTCAGGGAGCTGAGGACCAAAGCTGAGTCTTGCCACTAAATGTTTACAAGACGAAACTGCAATGGCGAAGAAGAGAAGGAGGAGGATAAACAACTTTCCCACCTCAAGGGACATTCCTGAGGAGAAGCAGAGGTAGGGAAAAACTGCAGTTCAGGGTACCCTCCCCTTTCTAATTCTTCCTAACATTTGTCATCACATGCCACATTGTTAAAATAAAGATTAAGGAATCTTAAGAAGTTAATAAGAAAAGGAGATGTCATAAAGCAGCAACATTCGCCCTCTTTGGTATGGGGGACTTTAAAGACCCTTACAGGGCTGGCAGCATGGGAGACAAGAGGACACTTCCAAGATTTCAGTCCTAACAAGGCAATGCCAGGGAGGCACGTGCTATTCCCATTACTATTCCTACACCCCCACAGACACACACATTTTAAGAAGCTGGCAAACTAAAGCTCAGACAGGCTAAGCAGTCTGTCCAGTATTTGAATTCACATGTTTCCAACCCAGCAGTTCTGAAAACTTTTGGTCTTGGGATTCCTTTGCATTCTTAAAAAGTATTGAAGAATCCAAATAGCTTTATGTGGAATACACACACACACACACACACACACACACACACACACACAACACAAATAGATAGATCTGTATTTTTATACTTATTTACCATATTAGATATTTATAGGGAGACATTAAAACACAAGAATATAAGAGCACACATTCCCTTAGCCATAAGAACAATGCTGTTATCACACAACACACATCATGCAGCCTCTAGAAAACTCCACTGTACACTTTTGAGAGAGTGAAAGTTTAGAAAGCAAACAATAAATTAATATTATGATGAAAATAATTTTGACCTCCCAGATTCCCTGAGAGAATCTGAGTCTCCCAGAGGTCCAAGATCACACTGTGAAAAACATTGTTTTAATCTCAATTCTATGCTTTATGTTTCCAAGACCAGACAGTGATACATTCAACAAATGGCCGTCAATATGCTCCTAAGATCCCTTTACTGCTTTAACTCCCACGATGTCTGCAAAGTATTCCCAAACTTGCCACACCAAAATAAACCCTCTCTCCAAAAATGCACCGTGAGTGCTCAAGCTTCTTTGCAGGTGCTCACGTTGTATCTTCTGTCTGGAACTACTTCCTCCTCCTTTTAGAGATGTTAGCTTTCAGGGCTCTGCTGAAATGTGACCAACACTGGCCTCAGGCAGAATTGATCACTCTCCATAAAAAGCACTTCGGTTTTTACCTCTACTTCATTTTACTATGTTCTACTGTTTCTTGTTAGTAATATGTCTCCCTTCCCTTCTTTCATTCCACAATCCTGTGATGAGCACCTGTCCAACAATCATCAGCACTATGGTTAGGACCCAGATTTTCCCTTAAAGAGTTGAATCTTCCTGAGCTACTGGGGGCAAGAAACTATAGTTTATTATCTCTAATTCTTCATTCTTGGTACGACACTTGTTCAAAACTGTGTTATTTGCTTTGTCTAATTACTCTAAAATGATAAGTTATCACTGACTGATGGGAATGTGAGTGATATTTTCTTTGTACTTTTCTGCAATACATTTTTATAATTATAAATGTAACACATACAATGTTCATGTTTCTGTAACTCAGCAGCTAATAGGAAATGCTGATGTATGTGATACACAGCTCTATGTGCTTTACATACATATCAATGCTTATCATTATTTATGTTATTCACAGCAAGTAGAGGTGTAAATACTCAACTCAATTGTATAATGATACATCCTACATCATATACCATATGTACATTGTCCTTTGGTTGCCTATAAGTGGCATGCATGTGAGTTACCTTGGCTTTGTCTTTATGCCCCAAATAAATCCAGATCTTCTTTGTGTCTAATTTCCTGAATTTCTCAGGGAATATTGCTCATCTTATGGCCAGGCAACATAGGATTTTAACATCTACACACAAATTTAGCATTTTAACTTTGCAGATCTCAATTAGGAGAATGTTCTCTTGGAAGCAAATACATCTCTCAGTGGCCACCAGGGAGTCAAATTAACTGGTTGCCTTCATAAAGATCAGTAAAACATTTAGCAGGAAATGTTTTCCCGCAGATGGAATTCAAAATGAGTTGTTTTCTAAATGATTTTATCTCCTAGAATAACCAGAAAACAGTGTTTTAAATAGTGACACGACACACTACCCATTACTAACAAAGGGCTTTCCACCCCTTGCGCAAAATCTCCACTAGTCATTTCTATGTGAATGCAGAAGCTTCTGCAGAAGGGAAAAGAAAGAATGGATTGAGTTACTGTTTAATTGGCTGTAAGCTGGAGACTTGCTTCTGCTTGGCTCCTGCTGTGCTGTTACCATCAGGCCTGACGGGATCACTGCAGCAGGCTAACCTCTGATGTTGCTTGCTCCCTTCATGATACCCACAGGCTGCCCCACACTGAGCTCACTGGCTTCACTGCCTGGGCCGCCCTGTCCTCCAAGAAGGGCTGTGGTCTGCGCAGTAACTCTGCTCCAGGGGAGCCCTGCTTCTTCATTGAGATGCAGGTAGTGGTCCCCTAAGCCAAGGCTGCGGAGCGTCATTAAACTGGTGGGGAGACAAACAACACTTGTGCTGCATACCAAGTGGCATCATGTTTAACTGAATCATTTTATTATGAATACATTCTGGGCTGCCACTGTGAACCACTGGTGTAAAATATGCTGGCAAAATGGATCTCTGCTAATTATGTTTCATGCATATTTCAGAACTTTCCACAGGGATACCGGAAGATGGTGTTCATAGAATTTTACAAGCAGGTTCACTTGCATTTGGCTCAAGACTAGCAGATAACAAAGATAAGTTCAATTATATTACAGGTTGTTTTGTTTTAGCTGGAATGCTGTAATTCCTTATAACTCTATCACTGCTCCTGTGGTCACTGGCTGAAAATGAAATCATTCTCCAAGTCCACCTGAATGTATATTATTGCAGAAAAGCACATGGCTATTAAATCATTTCTTCCCATATTTGCCTTTACTATATTTGTCTTTCATTTTACCTTAAACTGAATTAAGTAAATGAGCCTCTGGACTTGGAGATATGTTAGGAGAGTGAAAGAAAAGAAAGCATCATTACCTGCTTCAAGATAGAATTGTAAAGAACACAAGTGACTGCTTTCTCATGGCTTTTCACCCTCTTGCTGGCTTCACTTTTCATTGCCAACAATGCTAGCTGGTTATTAAACGAGATGAAAAGTCGTCCATGGGCTTCATCAAAGTGGAAGAGACATCTGAAGTCCTGACTTTTGGGGAAAGAACAAGCTATCCTCTGGATGGACAGCTGGTGTTGAATATCCCAGAGTCTCAAAACCTGGATGAAAAGTGATAAAATCATTTCAATATGTCAAAGATAATTGTAATCTTTTAGCCAATTTTTTTTCTAGCTCACCCTCAATACCAGGCAGACAGTTGTTTCCTCCACAGTGCTATAATTGGTTCTCAATTCTGCCATAGCACCTATTATTTTGTATTTCAGTCACCTGTTTAAATATCTCCTAAATTGTAAGCTCCTCTAGGAAAGGGGTTGGGTTCTATTTCAGTCCCTGGTATAAGGCTTGGCATTTAGTAAGTGTTTGTTGTAGGCAGAATAGTAGTCCCCCAAAGATGTCCATGTCCTAATTCCCAGAACCTGTGAATATGTTATCTTAGGTGGCAAAAGAGATTCTGCAGATATGACTAAATTAGGGACTTTGAGATGGTGAGATTGTCCTGGATTATTTGGGTGAGTCCAATCATAAGGGTCTTTAAATGTGAAAGAGGGAGGCAGAAAAATGATCAGAGTGGTGCAATATGAGGACTCTTCCTAGTCTTGCTGGCTTTGAAGAGGGCCATGATCCAAGGAAGCTTGAAAAGACAAAGGAATGGTTTCTCCCCCAGAGCCACCAGAAAGGATGAGACTCATGTCAAATTCCAACCTACAGAACACAAAATAAATTTGTGCTGTTTCAAGCTACTAAGTTTGTGCTCATGTATTACACTAGCAATAGAAAACTAATACAGTTCTCTCTCCGTCTGTCTATATATACATGTGTGTATACATATATATGTATATATGTGTGTGTAGATACATGTATCTATATATGTGTGGATAGATATATATGTATACATATGTATGTATGTGTATATATGTATATATGTATTTTTGGTAAAATAAAAGAAGTGGCATTAAATGAGGTCAAGTTCATATAACCACAGATATTAAATTCTTATTCAAACACCTTCAAGACACATAAATGACATGCATTTACCAATGGATAGTAGAGGGCAAACACTAAATCCTTGCTCAAGAAATAGGTTGCTTTAGATTCAATAGACATTAAAAAATTGTTTTTCCTTTTCTTCTATTTTCTCATGGCTCCCTTCATTTCAAAGAGGGTGAGTCACACTAAGTGTCCCAGGAAGAAAACAGAAAGATGAGCTTCACAGGTGTGAGTGTTGGTGCTATCAGTAGTGGTACAGAATTAACAGGCTACTGAGGGAGTGAAAAACCTCTCCAAAAGGGGGTATCAGGCAAGTCATCAAGACCTTGTTTACTTTTAAAAAACATGTAGAATGTATCTGTTGTACAAAATCAAAAATCACCACAGGGCTTTTATCTTAACCCTATCTCTGTAACCTAGGGTCAGATTTCCTGGGTTCTAATCTCAGTTCTGTTCCTTACTAACAGGGGGACCTCCAATAAGTTTTTTTTTTAATCTGAGTTTTTAATGTAGTGTCTACCTCACCTAATGCTATGAGAATTAAATGAGAGTCTATGTCAAGCACTTAACATGATGACCAGCCTGTAATGCGTTCAATGAATGTTCCTTATTATTATGTCTATTTTATTTTTTCATTGTGTAAATATTAGAACCTAAAAGCAGAAAACAATATTTCAAATAAACTAGTCTATCCAACATGAAAATTATTTCTAAATTATCTATAAAAGATAGTTTCTGTTTAGATGAGTCCTTATTGCCCCATAAGGCAGGCAACCTTATAGTTTTTAACCTATTTTAAATCATACACTGCTTTGGGAAAAAAATCTATTGAAAATGATGGTTCTATCCCAACTCATCAAATGCCCACAGCCATATATATGTACAATTTTACATATAATTTATTTGGGTACATAGACACACCTCACAAACATACTAACAGGTCCTAGGAATCTACAAGATAGGAATCCCTACAGTAATTATTAAATATATTCAGCCAAAGAAATCTTCTTCTACCTTTTCATTCTATCCTACCTTCTTCTCACACCTGCATAAGCTTCCTCTTACCCCTTTTCTCCAGGTTAAATGATCCCAATTCTTTCAACCATTTCAATATCAGTTTTCAGATCTCACTACCACCTACCATGGTGGCCTCTTGATTCTCTCAATGTCTTTGTTTCCACTTTCTCTCTAGGGGAGGGTAGTCATCCAGCCCTTGTTTACTTTTAAAAACCATGGTAAGATGCGTCCATTGTATAAAGTCAAATAGCACCAGAGGGCTTTTATCTCAAGCCATATATTCTACCCCTAGTCCCAATCCTTAGAGATGGCCTTCTTTTACTCTTTTACTCTTTCTTGTTTATGATTTTTTTCCACAACACTAAATAATATAATTGTGCACACATGTGTGTGTATATATGTGTGTGGTGTATATATTTTTATACAACTATATCTAGTGACTCAGAAAGAAGAAGAAAAATTACTAATACTCCTTTTCTCCCTTTCTCCTCCCATTTCTCCCAAGTTAGCATGTTAATTTTTTTAGTCCTATTGTTATTATTTTAAATATGTTTATACATTAATTATTGACCCACTAATTTAACACTATCTGTAAGCACCTAAAAATCTTTAAAGATCTGCTTTAAGCAAGTCATCCAGAATGGAGCCAATATTTCCAGTGTGTTCTAATCATTACAGGTGCTATGATTTCTTTAAAGCAGCCTATTTTTGCATTAGCTGATTAAGCCTCTCCATCATGCTTTTCACTTGCCTTGATGTCTTAATTGAGCAAAATTCTATATATTATTCCCAGGAACAAATAACCAAGCCAGATGTCTACTATCCTGTTTCCAAAAATATATTTTTTAATTAAGACTAAAATTTTCCCTATTTTTGATCTAGAGTTTCAAGTGACAATATCATTTTGAATCCTAATTTCCCATGCTGTTCTTGTGATAGTATGTGAGTTTTTACAAGATCTGATGGTTTTGTAAGCATCTGGCTTTTCCCCTACTCGCACTTCTCTCTCCTACCGTCATGTGAAGAAGGCCCTTGATTCCCCTTCACCTTCTGCCATAATTGTATATTCCTGAGGCCTCCTTAGCTGTGTGGAACTGTGAGTCAGTTCCTCACCATGCCTTTATAAATTACCCAGTCTCAGGTAATTCTTTATAGCAGTGTGAAAATGGGCTAATACAGACATAGGTAGTGTTCAATAAATATTTTTTGAATTAAAGATTGTGGCTCACTCTGTCTATACCCAGATCATTGATGAAAAGATCAAACAGGATATGCCCAAGAATACAACACTCCCACAAAAAAGTCTGCCTCACTTCCACATATTTATTTACCCAATTGCAGTTCTCACATAATCCTCAATGAAATTTTATGGGACTTTTTAAAATATCTTACAGAAATAATTATGCTTCTAGCATAGGGTAATGTCTCCATTTACTCTAACTACCAGCCCTTATAACAAGCTTGAACTAACCTAGTCAGTCTCTACTTGGTAAACCACATCACCAAACCCTCTGACCCTAAGAATGTATATTCATAGAGAAAATTGGGTTTTCTTGCCAAAGATTTTTATTAAAGAACTCATTCTGGTTTTTAATCATCACTAAAAAAATTTTAAAAAAATTGTTTAAAACATTCTGGCAGCTCTCCAGGAAATGTTTATCTTAAAAAACATGAATTCTGTTATAAATATAAATAGAATTGATAAGCTTTTATTTTGAATGTTACAGTTATAAAATTAGACACATCTAGATCATTCTCAAATACTCATATTACTAATGATAATCACGTCTTCATCATTCAAAATCCTGTCTTGTTTAGTATGGACCCCTTCTAAGAAATAGAAACTAACTTCATGTCATAATAATAATATAGGGTATAGTTGAATACACATTGACAATAACTCCACAGTACTGATGAACTATAATTTCTCCAGAATCATTTTTCATTGTGTTAAGTAATTTATATTGGATTTGATATTTCACTGACATTTAGTCACATAAATTATATGATAAATTAAAAACAGGTGAGCCATAACCTGTCTAGTCTACAACAGGTTACTTCTTGTTGTTAGCAATTAAAACTAGAAATTTTTTTCAGAATGTGCACATTTGTTAATTTTTTAAATTAATGTTTACTGTTCTTCTTCTTCTAGGCAACCCTAAACTCTCTCAACTAACGATCCCACTAAGTCCACCTTCCATCTTTAATTCTCTAATTTTGCTTTCTGCTGAGAATTAAGCAACAGCATTGAAGTACAGCCATAAAAGCATAAAATGGGTGACGGTATATGACCTCCCTTATGTTCTTAATTTTCCCTGCCAGTGGTTCTTAAACTTGACTTTAGAAACACCTATGATGCTCGAGAAATCTCCTATGCTTTGGCCCTTTCCCAGACCGATTAAATCAGAATCTCTGAGGATGGGGCTCAGACATTAGTTTTTTATTCCCAGGCATTTCCTTTGCATTATACCTAACTTCTCTGTTTTGTTTTAAGGTCAATGATAATCTCCTTGAAAAAGAAATCTTTCCCTCAGCTTAATTAGTAATATCGCATAGCTTAGCTTTAAACCAGGTAATTGTATTCCCCTTCTTTTTTATTCAGTCTATATCCTTCTAATCATAAAAGCCCTCACATTAATTCAGTTTTATTAATCAAGTCCTTTGACAAAAATGTCACTTAAATATCTAGTTATTATCTGAGAATCCTGCGTTCTCACCTTCTTTTATATTCAAGTTGACTTCTGGAATAGAATTAAACCACAGTTCAGAAAGGAATATGTTTAATTTCAATTTTCATTTCAGATATCCTAGAAGGGTTTTCTTTATTTTTAGTAGAGAAAACAGATTCACAAACTTTTAAGCTTAAAAATTACAATGGAATAATTTTTTTAATTTGTATTATCCACAAAGTTTTATTTAAATTGATCTGTATCTATTTGCATCATTATATCTGAGAACTTGTGATATCTGTCTAAACTCAGGCTTACTAAGTCAAGTCCATGAACGGGCATGTTTGGGAGCTCTGTATTTCATCTTCACTTGTAGATTAACAAGAATAAGCACCTAAGTTTATGATTTTATATTAAGGCAAATAAATTTTGCCATAATTAGTAATATCATATAGCTTTTCAAATAATGATAATGACATTTTCTTGCATAATCTTTATCTTCTTTTAACCGTTAACCTTATAGGAATGCAATATTACAAGTGAATACTGTATTACTTATACACAATAGACCTAGAAATCAATGGATTGAGACTCCAGACACCCAATCCTAGTTTTCATCCTAGGCAGTTCAGGTATGTGATTTTTATCTTTCCATTTTCTCATCTTTCTGCTGAAGGGGCCCCTACCAACTCTGGAATTCTGTCAAATTTGTCTACAATGTAGTCAAATTACTCAATCCATTATCTAAATATTCTAAAATAACAATATTTCAAACGAATTAAAAAGGTACATTGTGAGGATTGAATCAAAGAAATGTAGGACATCACCATGTTTTCAGCCTAGCTTTGCTGAAGAATCCCCTACTCCCAGCCAGAGGTGGACAGAATCACTATTATTCACACAGGCATCATAGAACTATAATAAATCAACAAGTAAATAATGAAATAAAGCTTTTCTTCTGTGCTACAAATGTTACATTTATAAGTAGATAACTTCACAGATATAGGTAGGGGTATAAATAGATGTGTGAATGGATAGAAAATCTATTTTCAGTGCACTTTTAAATCCAAATCAGTATTATTTACATACTAGCAACATGTTTAATTCAAAGTAGTCAGAAAATAAAACAATTTGTAATTTCCTCATAAAGGCATAAAAGTGAAGGAGAAGTAGAAAACAGACTCACATGACTCCATTTAAAGGAGACCTGCTTGGCTTTATCAAACATTTACTAACTCCTGTTATCCTGTTAGAGATAGATATAAAATAACAATAAGAAAAAAGGGAGAGTGTGGGCATGCTTCCGTGTGTGTGTGTGTGTGTGTGTGTGTGTGTGTGTGTGTATTGCTAGGGGATTTTTGAGTACAGTAGTGCAGCAGCCCAGCTCACCGGGAGCAATCCACACAAATGGATAGCATACTTGCAGATAATAGGATAACAGGAATGGAGGGCATTGCTTTTCCTGAACACACTTTTATGTACTAACAATCTATTTATTTAGAAGTTAAGCCTCTCAGTAATCCACAAAAGCATAATCAGTAAATGCTTAAAGACAATTTTGTTTGACATGATGTATGCTAGCAGAACTATTCTACTGAATACCTTGGCTAACATTTTTATCTTAAAGTCATATAACATTTCTTCCTTCAGAAAAGATTTTTGCTATTTTTTTCCCCAGGACTAAAATCAAACTTAAAATACTAGTTTGAAATTAAAATCTTCTCTTCTGCCGTTTATCTTTAAATTGCTACTATAACTATTATAATAGTTATACTATTTTTTTTTAGTTCTCTTCAACAGAAATGAGAGAAGACACACAGCTCTAAGACTCGAATTTCCACTATGTGTCTGTTTATTCTTTCATTGACCTTAAAAGAGGCAAAACATTGTCTAACAACTCTGAATTGTTGGGCAGAAATCTCATTGATTTCCCAGTTCTAATTTGCAATAGGCTGGGCACAGTAGCTCACACCAGCACTTTGGGAGGCCGAGGCAGGCAGACCACTTGGGGTCAGGAGTTGACCTGCCTGGCCAACATGGTGAAATCACATCTCTACTAAAACTACAAAAAAGTAGTTGGACATTATAGTGCAGGCCTGTAATTCCAGCTACATGGGAGGCTGAGGCAGGAGAATTGCTTGAGCCTGAGAAGCAGAGGTTGAAGTGAGTCAAGATCACTGCACTCCAGCCTGGGCAATAGAGCAAGACTTTGTCTCAAAACAAACACACACACACACACACATACACACACACACACACACACAGATAGAGAGAGAAAGAGAGAGAGAGAGAAAAACAAATTTGCAATAAATTTAACTAATGCCAACATTTCATTTAAGGTGCTTTCTTTTTTCAGGACAGAAGTTCATTTGGAGAATTTTTAAATCTCAGCTTGATTCTTGCAATTATCATTATTCACATAACATTAAAACCTTAACAGAATTTTTGCCTTTAAAAATGTCGTTTAACTTTCAAAGATCACAGCTCCTCTTTTAATTTACAATGTAAATTAAAACTCTTTAAATTTTAAAATTCTTTTTTTACTCAATATTTATACTAACAACTTTAAAAAAAATCAAAAGCAGCTACAGCATGAGAATTCCGATTAAATTATCATTAAAAACTAGGTTTTTGTAAGGGGTCTTCCTGCTTCAAAGAAATACAGTTCTGAATAAAACATAATTTTTGGCTAGCTGTGGTGGCCACATCTGTAATCTCAGCACTTTGGGAGGCCGAGGTGGGAAAATCATTTGATGCCAGGAGCTTGAGACCAGCCTGGACAACATACAAAGACCCTGTCTCTATAAAAAAAATCCAGAAAAATAAAGCATAATTTCTGTTGCCTTGCTGGGCCTTCAGGGAGTAAGAAGTATTTCCATGGGTCCAAAAAAACAAGGGAAAAAGAAACAAACTTAAAATGGGGACACTGAACAGTAGACATAAAGGAAAGAACAACAACCAGAAGCCTAAGCCTTGGCCCAATAGCAAGGTACAGCCATTGAGGTGAGACTGTTAAACTGGACAACTGAGATGCAGAATGCAGTAGCCTCAAGACAGTAGTTTTGCACATTTCATTATACCCTACAGAAACAAACACAAATCTTCTCTGGAAGAAAGCATCTTCAATTTAGTTCCTCAGAATAACTATATATTAGTAACAGTAAAAAATGAGGGAGTGAGAAAGATAATCAAGCATAAAAGGAAACAAGTCACTATGAGGAAGAATCACCAGAATAGCAAATATCAAGTTTAGAACACAATGAACTCCAGATATTCTCATTACAAGCAAGAATGTAAAATAATTAGGTATAACATTAAAGAGCTACAAGTCAGAATCCCCTAAATGAACAAGCAACAAGAGACTATCCAAAATTACAAGAGAGTTCAAGAAAACCTTTTAGAAAAAAAGTTAGTTGAAATTAAAACCCAGTGTATGAGTAATAGAGAAAGTGGCCTCCTCTCCATTAGAAACAACCTCAAGAAAGTCAAGAATATGATAAGAATGCCTCCTAAAATATGGAGAAAAAAAATCTGAACTTAGAATGGGATGTAAATTAAAGCATGCAATTTTTATGGAAGATAGTGAAGAGTGAATAAACAGAGAAATACTGAGAGCTCTTTCTCAATATCTTAAAGATGTCAAACATTACCAAACTTAATGAAATTTCAATCCAAATACTGATAGGGCTTTTCATGGGAATGGGACATTTGTACTGATCCTAAAATTTACTTGGAAGGATAATATGTTGGAGGATAGTTCAAATGGAAAAAGAAAAACAATAAGTAGGAATTACCCTACCTGGCATCAAAGTACACAAAAAAGAGAATGGTTAAACCATCGTATATTAGCATAGGAAAAGACAAGTAAATTAATGGAAAGAATAAAGCATATACAAACAAATTCATGTATATTTAGTAATTCAGATGATGATAACAATGGCATTTCAAATCAGTAGTAGAGACAGATTATCCAAAAAATAACCTTAGGCAACCATTTGTAGAAAAAATCTACACAAAAATGAACCATAAAGTTAAATGCAAAAATAATCAACAATAGAAAAAGTATTAGCAGAAAATAAAGAATATTTTTATAATAACTTACAAATAGGAGATGTGGAAAATATTTTGTGTCTAAATTTGTGTCTAGGTTAGAGCCATAAAGAAAATCATTCCTTAGACTCATTTTTTTAAGTCTTGACTATCTTTTTCTTGATCGTAATAGCTTAACATTTTTTATTATCTTTTCTTTGTTATATGCATTGCAAATATTTTGCCTCTTTAGAGCACACATTTTTAAATTTTGTTTTTTTCATTCAAAAGTTTTAAATATTTATAATATTGAGTCTAAGAAATGCTTTCCTTAGATAAATGGCATGATCAGATATTGCACAAAAATCAAGAACTATAAATGGCCAATAAATATTTGCAAAAGAAATTCACCCTAGTTTTTGTTCATCAGGTTCACACACAAAAATGAACACATTTTCACTGCTGACAAGAATATGAGAAAACAGACACTTTCATATACCCCTGATGAGCATGCCTATTGGTACAACACTTCTTCACTGTAATAGGCAATATTTATGTAAAGCCTTTGAGATCTAATAGCATAACTTCTAGAAACTTATTACAAAAACATTAACCTAAGAGGTCTTAAAAGGGTGCGTGTGTGTGTGTGTGTGTGTGTGTGTGTGTGTGTGTGTGTGTCATGGCTAACAAAGATAAACAACTTAGAAACAATATCTCCTTTAATCAACAGGTGATTAAGTAGTTAAATTATGGCCATCCATACTAAGAATTGCTGTATAGCCAAAAAATACAGATATATGTATATCTATGTGTCTATCTATAAAGATCTTCAAGAGATACTGTTTAGGAAAAAGCAAATTGTAGAAAAAATATGTGTCATATGATACCATTTACATAAAAACTAATAATAAATACTACCCTGTATTTGTTCACACTCAAAGGATAATATATATAATAACATTAAATAAAGTTGTATTTTGTTATAATGACATATTATTATAATACATTATTATGTATAACATAGTAAGTATATAGCAAAACAATATAAGAAGATACACGTCTAGGGTTGATGATAGTTATTCCTTGGGAAAGAAATGGATTTGAAGGGGAAATGATCATAAGGAATATTTACTTTTTGCACTACATGCTTCCTCATCATTTGCAATTTTTATAGGAGGGCATTAATCCATTTACCGGCGTACTTTAAATGAAAATCCTTTGTTTCTGGATGGATAGATGGAAGTCGGGATGGGGAACAGTGTGGAAAAAAAGAAAAGAAGATAAATGGTAAGACAAAATTCTGATTGTATTGTTCTTACCAACCATAGGTCTACAATATAGAAGCCAGGTTCTGAGAAAAATCAGAACCTCAAACAAAGGATTAAGCCACAAACTGATTTGCTTCTGCTGACCAAATCAGGATTAGTGGCCTCGGGGAGAATAGTTAGGAGTAATGAAAAAGCTGAATTAGGCCCACAGGCTGAATGTCAGTCTCCATCAGAGAGTTTGACATAGGCTTCAAAAATCTTTTTTACTCCCCATGGTGGTTCCTCTCCAAATGACTAAGTTACTTGCCCTCAACAGGGCCTTACCACCAGTGACTGCCATCTCAAGAGAATCAGTTTAGGAGTTCAAAGCAAAATACGATTGAACTCTTTAATCACCACTGGAAAATAGCAATAGAGAAGATTTCCAAAAACGAAATGAAGTTTCAGATCATTTTTGGAGAAAATTTTGTAGATTTAAATTGCTTTGTCTATAGATCTTCTAATTCAGCAATTCATTGACCAAAACATGTTTCAATCAAAAGCTCTTGAAAACATAATGTGTTTTCATTTTTTCTAACTTAACCCCAGTCCTATAAAATATCCAAAAGACTTTGACAGCAATAAAGCAGAGGCTTACCCTGGTGGCAGAATGCATTGTTGTTTGTTGTAAAGACGTAAAGACTGAGATCACGATGCATTTATTAAAGTGAAATAGATTTAGACTAACATGAAAGACAACATGACAAGCTTCATTATAATGTAATGCAAACAAAACAAAAATAGAAAGATAAATTGTTTTTGGAAGAGGCCAGGTAGTCTTAGCATTGATGATAGCTGTACATAATCACCTGTGACTCTAAAGACATTTTTTCACTTGCTTTTACGTTATAAAACCTCTCGGGGAAGTCTTAATGACAAAATATCTGATACTTGTTTCATATTTATATTTGATAAAGATTCTCTTATTTAACTACAATTTATTGGGGACCTGGTATATATATGGTATAATTCCAGAAAGACATTGCCCCTAACCTTATGAATCCTATCATTTAGTTGATAGTTATACTGTTTCATATATTATATTTAACATGTATTTAATACATTAATATTTTCTAGGTCTTGGGAAACACAAAAATAAATTCAACAAATAATCTTTACCTTCAAGCAGTCAGAATCTAATGAAAAATACAATATACATATACAATGCTCCGGTATCCAAATCAGATTGTGTTAAATTCAATAATGGAAATGAAACAAAGTGCTAAAAGATCTCAAAAAGTAGGCCAGCTAAATCTAACTAGGGCATCATAAAAGGTTTCACTCAAGTTTTTTGATACTTTAGACTCAAAGTAATATGTCTTCACTTCAAGCTGTCAACATATAACTATTGAATAAGCACTACAAGGTGCCAAGCACTGTGATAAATACCAAGAATACAAGCTGAAAAGACACTGACCTTTTTTTTCACTTTTTCTTTTTTGAGACAGGGTCCCTCTCTGTCACCCAGGCTGGAGTGCAATGGCATGATCACGCCTCACTGCAGCCTCAGCCTACCAGGCTTAGATGATTGCCCTACCTCAGCCTTTCGGGTAGCTGGGACTACAGGTGTGCGCCACCATGCCCACTAATTTTTGTATTTTTTGTAGAGATGGGTTTTTCCATGTTGCCTAGGCTGATCTTGAACTCCTGGGCTTAAGTGATCCACCCACCTCAGCTTCCCAAAGTGTTGGTATTACAAGCGTGAGGCACCACACGAGCCCTCTTTTTCATTTTTTCTAATTAATTTTTTTATTTTGGTGGGTACAGAGTAGGTGTATATATTTATTGATTACATGAGATATTCTGATACAGATATACATTGCGTAATAATCACATCAGGGTAAATGGAGTAGCTATCACCTCAAGCATTTATCCTGTGTGTTACAAGCAATCCAATTATATTATGTTAGATATTGTAAATGTACAATTAAACTATTTTTTACTATAGTCACTCTGTTGTGCTAGCAAATACTAGGTCCTCTTAATTCTTTCTATTTTTTATACCCATTAACCATACCCACTTCCTCTCCAACCTCCCCCACCACTACCCTTCCCAGCCTCTAATAACCATTCTTCTTCTATCTCCATCAGTTCAATTGTTTTAATTTTTAGCTCCCACAAATAAGTGAGAACACCTAAAGTTTGTCTTTCTCTAACTGGCTTATTTCACTCAGCATAATGACCTCCAGTTCCAACCATGTTATTGCAAGTGACAGGATCTTACTCTTTTTTATGACTGAGTAGTACTCTACTGTTTGTAAATACCACATTTTCTTAATCCATTTATCTTTTGATGGACACTTGGGTTGCTTCCTAATCTTGGCTATTGTTAACAGTGCTGCAACAAACATGGAAGTGCAGATATCTATACGATATACTGATTTCTTTTCTTTGGGGTATATACCTAGTAGTGGGAATGCTGGATCATACGGCAGCTCAATTTTTAGCTCTATTACAGTGGTTTTACCAATTTACATTCCTACCAACAATGCATGAGAATACCCTTTTATCCACATCCTCACCAGCATTTGTTATTGCTTGTCTTTTGGATATAAGCCATTTTTAACTGGGGTAACATTGTAAATTTGATATCTCATTGTAATTTTGATTTGCATTTCTCTGATAATAAATAATATCGAGCACCTTTTCATATGCCTGTTTGCCATTTGTCTTTTTTTGAGAAATGTCTGTTCAGGTATTTAGCCCATTTTTAATCAGATTGTTAGATTTTTTTTCCTAGAATTGTTTGAGCTCCTTGTATATTCTGGTTATTAATCCCTTGTCAGATGGATAGTTTGTAAATATTTTCTCCCGTTCTGTGGGTTGTTTCTTCACTTTATTGATTGTATACTTTGCTGCGCAGAAGCATTTTAACTTAATGTGATCCCACTCATCCATTTTTTCTTCAGTTGCCTGTGCTTGTGGGGTATTGCTCAAGAAATTTTTGCCTAGTCCAATATTCTGGACAGTTTCTCCAATGTTTTTATTTAGCAGATTCATAGTTTGAGGTATTAGATTTAAATCTATAATCAATTTGGATTTAATTTTTGTATATGACAAGATTTAGGTGTCTAATATTATCTTCTGCATATAGATATTCAATTTACCCAGCACCATTTATTGAAGAAACTGTCTTTTCCTCAATATATGTTCTTGGCACCACTGTCTAAAATGAATTCACTGTAGATGTATGGATTTATTTCTGGATTCTCCATTCTATTCCACTGGTCTATGTGTTTGTTTTTATGCCAGTGTCATGACGTTTTGGTTACTGTAGCTCCATAGTATAATTTGAAGTCAGTTAGTGTGATTCCTTCACTTTTATTCTGTTTGCTTAGGATAGCCTTGGCTATTCTGGGTCTTCTGTGATTCCACATAAATTTTAGGATTGTTTTTCCTATTTCTATGAAGAATGTCATTGGTATTTTGATAGGGATTGCATTAAATCTGTATATTGCTTTTGGTAATATGGACATTTTAACAATATTTATTCTTCCAGACCATGAACATGGAATATCTTTCCATTTTTGTAGCTTCTTCAATGTCTTGCATTAATGTTTTATACTTTTCATCATACAAATCCTTCACTCTTTTGGTTAAGTTTATTCCTAGATATTTAATTTTATTTGTAGCTATTCTAAACGGGATTATTTTCTTGATTTTCAGATTGTTGTTGGCATATAGAAATGCAACTGATTATGTTGATTTTGTATCCTGCTACTTTACTGAATTTGCTTACCATTCTAATGTTCTTTGGTGGAGTGGTTTTTCCAAATACAAGATGTTATTATCTGCAAATAAGGATAATGTGCTTTCTTCATTTCCAATTTGGATGCCCTTTTTATATTTCTCTTGTCTGATTATTCTAGCTAGGACTTACAGTACTATATTGAATAACATAGTGGGCATTCTTCAGATCTTAGATGGGAGGCTTTCAACTTTCTCCCATTTCAATACGATATTAGCTGTTGGTCTTTTATATATGGCTTTTATTATATTGAGTTATGTTTCTTCTATATCAAAACTTTTTGAGTTTTTTAAATCATGAAGAGATGTGGAATTTTATCAAATGCTTTTTCAGAATCAATTGGAACGATTATTTAGTTTTTGTCCTTCATTCCATTGACATCATGTATCAAATTGATTGATTTGCATATGTGGAACCATTCTTGCAACCTTGGGATAAATCCCACTTGGTCATAATGAATGATTTTTTAAATGTGTTGTTGAATTTGAATTGGTAGTATTTTGTTGAGGATTTTTGCATCAATGTTTATGAGGGCTATCTGCCTGTGGTTTTCTTTTCTGATGTGTCTGTGTCTGGTTTCGGTATCAGGGTAATAATGGTTTTGTAGAATGAGTTTGGAAGTATTCCTTCCTCCTTTACTTTGTGGAGTAGTTTGAGTAGGATTGGTACCAGTTCTTCTTTTAATGTTTGGTAAAATTCAGCAGCAAAGCCCTTGGGTCCTGGGCTTTTTGTTGTTGAGAGGCTTTTAACTATGGCTTCAGTCTCATTACTTGTTATTAGTCTGTTCAGGTTTTGAAAATTTTTATGGTTCAATCTTGGTAGTTCGTATATGTCTAGGAATTTATCCATTTCTTCCAGATTTGTCAAGTTATTAACATATAGTGGCTCATAGTAGCCATTAATAATCATTTGAATTTCAGTGGTGTCAGTAATAATATATCCTTTTTCATCTGTACTTTTATATTTTATTTGGGTTTTCTCTCTTTTTTTTCTGGCTAGAAAGTTAGTCTGGCTAAGTTAGTCTGGCTAAAGTTTTGTCAATTTTGTTTATCTTTTCCAAAACCAACTTTTCATTTCATTGATCTTTGTATTCTTTCTTCATTTCAACTTCATTTATCTCTGCTCTGATCTTTATTTTTTCTTCTACAGATTTGGGGTTTGGTTTGTTTTTTGAATTCTTTAAGAGGCACCATTAGGTTGTTTATTTGAAGTTTTTTCTCTTTTTTGATGACAGCTGTAAACTTCTCTTTTAGTACTCCTCTTACTGTATCCCATAGGTTTTGGTATGCCATGTTTCCATTGTCATTTGTTTCAAGTAATTTTTCAATTTCCTTCTCAGTTTCTTTATTGACACACTGGTCATTCAGGAGAATATTGTTTAATTTCCATGTATTTGTACAATTTTCAAAATTACTCTTGTTATTGATGTCTAGTTTTAGTACCTTGTGATTAGAGAAGATGCTTGATATTATTTAAATTTTTTGAATGTTTTAAGACTTGTTTCATGACCTAACATATGGTCTATCTCTGAGAATGATTCATGTAGTCAGAAAAAGATTTTGTATTCTTCAGCAGTTGGATGAAATGTTCTATAAATATCTATTAGGTCCATTTCTTCTATAGTGCAAAGTCTGATGTTTCTTTGTTGATTTTCTGTCTGGAAGATCTTCTCAATGCTGAAAAACAGGTGTTGATGTCTCCAGCTATTGTTGTATTGTGGTCTATCTCTCTATTTAAGTCTAATAAAATTTGCTTTATATATCTGGGTGCTCCCGTTTTGGGTACACATATATTTACAATTGTTATATTCTCTTGCTGAACTAATTCATTTATCATTATATAATGATTTCTTTGTCCCTTATAGGTTTGGCCTGAAATCTATTTTGTCTGATATGAATATAGGGACTCCTGTTCTTCCATTCTGGCATGGAATATCATTTTTCCTTCCTTTATTTTCAGTCAGTGTGTGTCTTTATAGGTTAAGTGTCTTTCTTGTAGGCAATAGATAATTGGGTCTTGTTTTTTTTTATCCAATCACTCTGCTATGTCGTTTGATTGGAGAGTTTAGTCCATTAACATTCAATGCTATTATTGACAAGTAAAGACTTACTTCTGCCATTTTGTTATTTGTTTTCTGGTTGTCTTCTGGTCTTCTCTTCCTTCTTTCTTTCCTTCCTGTCTTCCTTATAGTAAAGGTGATTGTCACTGGTCATATGATTTAGTTTCTTGCTTTGTATTTTTTGTTCATTCCTTGTATGTTTTTTAGTTTGAGGTTACCATGAGGCTTGAAAATACTATCTTATAATCCGTTATTTTAAACTGATAGCAACTTAACACTATTCGTATAAACAAACCAACAAGCAAAAAGAAAACTAATAAAGACCCTATACCTTAACTTCATGCTCCTTAACTTTTTAACTTTCTGTTGTTTCTATTTATATCTTATTGTACTGTCTATGTCTTGAAAAGTTATTGTAGTTATTTTTGATTAGTTCATCATTTAATCTTTCTACTTCAGATAACAATAGCTTACACAGCACAGTTACAGGGTTATATTCTGTGGTTTTTTTGTGTACTTACTATTACCACTGAGTTTTGTACCGTTAGATGATTTCTTTTTCTTTTTCTTTTTTTTTTTTTTTTGAGATGGAGTCTCACTCTGTCGCCAAGCTGGAGTGCAATAGCACCATCTCAGCTCACTGAAACCTCTACCTCCTGGGTTCAAGAGATTCTCCTGCCTCAGCTTCCTGAGTAGCTGGGACTACAGGTGCACACCACCACGCCCAGCTAATTTTTGTATTTTTAGTAGAGATGGGGTTTCACCATGTTGGGCAGGACGGTCTCCATCTTTTGCCCTCACGATCCTCCCACGTCAGTCTCCCAAAGTGCTGGGATTACAGGCATGAGCGACTGCTCCTAGCCAGATGATTTCTTATTGCTAATTAACATTCCTTTCTTTCAGATTGAAGAACTCCCTCTAGCACTTCTTGTAGGAAGGTCTGGTATTGATGAAATCCTTCAGCTTTTGTTTGTCTGGTAAGGTCTTTATTTCTCCATGTTTGAAGGATATTTTTGCAAGATATAGTTATTTTCCTTCAGAACTTTAAATATGCTATTCTCTCCTGGCCTGTAAGATTTCCCTGAAAATTTTGCTGCCAGACATATTGAAGCTCTATTTTATGTTATTTGTTTCTTTTCTCTTACTGCCCTTAGGATTCTTTCTTTATCCTTGACCTTTGGGAGTTTGATTATTAAATGTCTCAAGTTAGTATTCTTTGGGTGAAATCAGCTTGGTGTTCTATAGCCTTCTTGTATTTGGACATTGATATGTTTCGCTAGGTTTAGGAAGTTCTCTGTTATTATCCCTTTGAATAAACTTTCTACCTTGTTTCTCTCTCAACTTCCTCTTTAAGTCCAATAACTCTTAGATTTGCCTTGTTGAGACTGTTTTCTAGATCTTGAAGGTGTGCTTCATTCATTTTCATTCTTTTTTCTTTTGCCTCCTCTGACTGCATTTCTAAATATCCTGTCTTCAAGCTCACTAATTCCTTCTTCTGCTTGATTGATTCTGCTATTAAAACACTGACACATTCTTCAGTTTGTCAATTCCATTTTTCAACTTTAGAATTTCTGCTTGATTTTTTTAACAATGTTAATGTCTTTGTTAAATTTATCTGATAGAATTCTGAATTCCTTCTCTGTGTTATCTTGAATATCTTTGAGTTTTCTCAACACAGCTATTTTGAATTCTCCATCTGAATGGTCACATATCTCTGTTTCTCCAGGATGTGTTATTGTGCCTTATTTAGTTCATTTAGTGAGGTCATGTTTTCCTGGATGGTGTTGGTGTTAGTAGCTGTTCTTTGGTGTCTGGGCATTGAAGAGTTAGGTGTTTATTGTAGTCTTCACTGTCTTGGCTTATTGGTAGCTATCTGATATGGTTGGCTCTGTGTTCCCACCCAAATCTCATCTCAAATTGTAATCCCCATGTGCTGAGGGAAGGACCTAGTTGTAGGTGACTGGATCATGGGGGAGGTTCCCCCATGCTGTTCTCATGATAGTGAGGGAATTGTCACAAGATCTGATGGTTTAAAAGTGTGCGGTGGTTCCCCTCTCTCGTTCTGCCTCTCCTGCTACCATGTAAGATGTGCCTTGCTTCCCCTTCACCTTCTTCCATGATTTTAGTTTCCTGAAGTCTCCCCAGCCATGAGCAACTATGAGCCAATGAAACCTCTTTCCTTTATAAGTTACCCAGTCTCAGGTACTTCCTTATAGCCATGTGAGAACAAACTAATACAGAAAATTGGCACTGGGAAAGTGGAGTGCTGCTATAAAGATACCTGGAAATGTGGAAGCAACATTGGAACTGGGTAACGGGCAAAAGTTGGAAAAGTTTGAAGGGCTCATAAGAAGACAGGAGAATGTGGAAACATTTGGGACTTCTTAGAGACTTGTCAAATTGTTTTGACCAAAATGTTCATAGTGATATGGGCAATGAAGTTCATGCTGAGGTGGTCTCAGATGGAGATGAGGACCTTACTGGGAACCGGAGCAAAGGTCAAACTTCCTATTCTTTACCAAAGACACTGGTGGCATTTTGCCCCTGCCCTAGATACCTGTAGAAATTTGAACTTGAGAGAGATGATTTAGGGTATCTGGCAGAAGACATTTCAAAGCAGTAAAGCATTCAAGATGTGACCTGGCTTTTTCTGAAAGCATACAGTCATATTCATTCCAAAGAGATAGTCTGAAGTTGGAAATTATGTTTAAAGGGAAGCAGAACATAAAAGTTTGGAAAATTTGCAACCTAATCATGTGGTAGAAAAGCAAAACCCGGCCTTTGACAAAATTCAACAACCCTTCATGCTAAAAACTCTCAATAAAGTAGGTATTGATGGGACATATCTCAAAATAATAAGAGCTATCTATGACAAACCCACAGCCAATATCATACTGAATGGGCAAAAACTGGAAGCATTCCCTTTGAAAACTGGCACAAGACAGGGATGCCCTCTCTCACCACTCCTATTCAACATAGTGTTGGAAGTTCTGGCCAGGGCAATTAGGCAGGAGAAGGAAATAAAGGGTATTCAATTAGGAAAAGAGGAAGTCAAATTGTCCCTCTTTGCAGACGACATGATTGTATATCTAGAAAACCCCATTGTCTCAGCCCAAAATCTCCTTAAGCTGATAAGCAACTTCAGCAAAGTCTCAGGATACAAAATCAATGTACAAAAATCACAAGCATTCTTATACACCAACAACAGACAAACAGAGAGCCAAATCATGAGTGAACTCCCATTCACAATTGCTTCAAAGAGAATAAAATACTTAGGAATCTAACTTACAAGGGATGTGAAGGACCTCTTCAAGGAGAACTACAAACCACTGCTCAACAAAATAAAAGAGGATACAAACAAATGGAAGAATATTCCACGCTCATGGGTAGGAAGAATCAATATCGTGAAAATGGCCATACTGCCCAAGATAATTTACAGATTCAATGCCATCCCCATCAAGCTACCAATGACTTTCCTCACAGAATTGGAAAAAACTACTTTAAAGTTCATATGGAACCAAAAAAGAGCCCGCATTGCCAAGTCAGTCCTAAGCCAAAAGAACAAATCTGGAGGCATCACACTACCTGACTTCAAACTATACTACAAGGCTACAGTAACCAAAACAACATGGTACTGGTACCAAAACAGAGATATAGATCAATGGAACAGAACAAAGCCCTCAGAAATAACATTGCATATCTACAACTATCTGATCTTTGACAAACCTGAGAAAAACAAGCAATGGGGAAAGGATTCCCTATTTAATAAATGGTGCTGGGGAAATTGGCTAGCCATATGTAGAAAGCTGAAACTGGATCCCTTCCTTACACCTTATACAAAAATCAATTCAAGATGGATTAAAGACTTAAACGTCAGACCTAAAACCATAAAAACCCTAGAAGAAAACCTAGGCATTACCATTCAGGACATAGGCATGGGCAAGGACTTCATGTCTAAAACACCAAAAGCAATGGCAACAAAAGCCAAGATTGACAAATGGGATCTAATTAAACTAAAGAGCTTCTGCACAGCAAAAGAAACTACCATCAGAGTGAACAGGCAACCTACAAAATGGGAGAAAATTTTCGCAACCTACTCATCTGACAAAGGGCTAATATCCAGAATCTACAATGAACTCAAACAAATTTACAAGAAAAAAACAAACAACCCCATCAAAAAGTGGGCGAAGGACATGAACAGACACTTCTCAAAAGAAGACATTTATGCAGCCAAAAAACACATGAAAAAATGCTCACCATCACTGGCCATCAGAGAAATGCAAATCAAAACCACAGTGAGATACCATCTCACACC
Source organism: Homo sapiens (assembly GCF_000001405.40). NCBI lineage: Eukaryota > Metazoa > Chordata > Mammalia > Primates > Hominidae > Homo > Homo sapiens. Next base: position 167,596,185 of record NC_000003.12, read on the forward strand.
AGTTAGAATGGCAATCATTAAAATGTCAGGAAACAACAGGTGCTGGAGAGGATGTGGAGAAATAGGAACGCTTTTACACTGTTGGTGGGACTGTAAACTAGTTCAACCATTGTGGAAGTCAGTGTGGCGATTCCTCAGGGATCTAGAACTAGAAATACCATTTGACCCAGCCATCCCATTACTGGGTATATACCCAAAGGACTATAAATCATGCTGCTATAAAGACACATGCACACGTATGTTTACTGTGGCATTATTCACAATAGCAAAGACTTGGAACCAACCCAAATGTCCAACAATGATAGACTGGATTAAGAAAATGTGGCATATATACACCATGGAATACTATGCAGCCATAAAAAATGATGAGTTCATGTCCTTTGTAGGGACATGGATGAAATTGGAAATCATCATTCTCAGTAAACTATCGCAAGAACAAAAAACCAAACACCGCATATTCTCACTCATAGGTGGGAATTGAACAATGAGAACACATGGACACAGGAAGGGGAACATCACACTCTGGGGACTGTTGTGGGGTGGGGGGAGGGGGGAGGGATAGCACTGGGAGATATACCTAATGCTAGATGATGAGCTAGTGGGTGCAGCGCACCAGCATGGCACATATATACATATGTAACTAACCTGCACATTGGGCACATGTACCCTAAAACTTAAAGTATAATAATAAATAAATAAATAAATAAATAAATAAATAAAGATGTTTGCCATACTTTACAATTTTCATAAAATAAACTCAAAATGGAAAAAAAAAAAAAAGAAAAGAAAAACCCATTTTTTAGGGAAAAATTCAAGTTGGCTGCAGAAATTTACATAAGTAACAAGGAGCCAAATGTTAATAGCCAAGACAATGGGGAAAATGTCTCCAGGGCATTTTGGAGATCTTCGTCACAGGCCCAAAGGCCTAGGTGGGAAAAATGGTTTCATGGGCCTGGCCCAGGGTCCTGCTGCCTCTGTGCAGCCTCAGGGAATGGTACCCTGCATCCCAGCTGCTCCAGCTCCAGCCTTAGCTAAAAGGGGCCAAGGTACAGCTAGGGCTGTTACTTCAAAGGGTGCAAGCTCCAAGCATTGGCAGCTTCCACATGGTGTTGAGCCTGTGGGTGCACAGAAGACAAGAGTTGAGTTTTAGGAGCCTCTGCCTAGATTTCAGAGGATGTACAAAAATGCCTGGATGTCCAGGCAGAAGTGGGCTGCAGGGAGCCCTCATGTAAAGCCTCCACTAAGGCAGTTCAGAGGGGAAATGTGGGGTTAGAGCTCCCACAGATAGTCCCCCTGGGGCACTGACTAGTGGAGCTGTGAGAAGAGGGCCACCATTCTCTAGACTCCAGAAGGGTGGATCCACCAACAGCTTGCGTCGTGCACCTGAAAAAGCCACACACACTCAACACCAGCTTGTAAAAGCAGCCACAAGGATGGTACCCTGCAGAGCCACAGGAGCAAATCTCCCTACTCAAGGCCAGGGAGCCCACCCCTTGCTTTAGCATGCCCTGTATGTGAGACATGGAGTAAAAGGAAATTTTGGAACTTTAAGTTTCAGTGAGTGTCTTGCTGGGTTTTGGACTTGCATGAGGCTTGTAGCCCCTTTGTTGTGGCCAATTTCTCCCTTTTGGAATGGTAACATTTACTCAATGCCTGTATCCCCACTGTATCTTGGAAATAACTAAATTGCTTTAGCATTTGCAGGCTCATAGGCAGAAGGGACTTGCCTTGTCTCAGATAAGACTTTGGAATTAGGCTTTTTGGGTTAATATTGGAATGAGTTAAGACTTTGGGGGACCATGATGGGGGCATGATTGTGTTTTGAAATGTGAGAAGGTTGGGCTGGGGACAGTGGCTAATGCCTGTAATCCCAGCACTTTGGGAGGCTGAGGTGGGCAGATCACGAGGACAGGAGATCGAGACCATCTTGGCTAACATGGTGAACCCTGTCTTTACTGAAAACTCAAAGAATTAGCTGGGCATGGTGGCAGGTGCCTGTAGTCTCAGCTACTCTGGAGACTGAGGTAGGAGAATTGCTCGAACCTAGGAGGCAGAGGTTGCAGTGAGCCGAGATCACACCACTGCACTCCAGCGTGGGTGACAGAGCAAGACTCCATCTCAAAAAAAAAAAGAAGAAAAGAAAAAAGAAATGTGAGAAGGACATAAGATTTGGGAGGGGCCAGGGTGTAATGACATGATCTGGCTCTGTGTCCCCACCCAAATCTCATCTCAAATTGTAATCCCCATGTGTCGAGGTAGGGAGGTGATTCGATCATTGGGGCAGTTTCCTCATGCTGTTCTCATGATAGTAAGTGAGTTCTCATGAGATCTTATTGTTTAAAAGTGTATGGTGGTTCCCCCACCCCACTCTCTTTCTCCTGCTGCCATGAAAGATGTGCCTTGCTTCCCCTTCACCTTCCACCATGATTGTAAGCTTCCTGAGGGCTCCCCAGCCATGTGGAAACATGAATCAATTAAACTTCTTTTCTTTATAAATTATCCAGTCTCATAGTTCTTTGTAGCAGTGTGAAAATGGACTAATACATTTTTTGAGAGGCTTTCCAGATATTTGAAAGGAATTGAGTGTTGTGATATAGGTGTATCTTCATTAGGGGGCACCCCAAACCCAGTGATGCTGTAGTTCTTGCAGACTCATAAAGGTCCCAGTTTGGAATCTTGGATAAAATCCAGAAGTGTCCAGATTACTAGACAGGCTCTTATTCTCTCACCTTACTTTCTACCAAACAAATAGAGTCTCTCTGTCTCTATTCTGAACCACTTGGGGCTGATGGTGGAGTGACACAGGCACTTATGTGGCCATCACCACTGAGACTGTGCTGGGTCAGATATGAAGCCAGCACAGCACTGGGTCTTGCCAAAAGCCTGCTGTAACCATTACCTGGCTACCACCTATGTTTTCCCACGGCTCTGGGGCTCTATGGTCAGCATGTGGTTAAGCAGACAACCTTGTGTCCTTCCCTTCAGGGCAGTTAGTTCCCTCAGGTCCCAGGCAGGTCCAGAGATGCTGTCCAGGAACCAGGGCTATAGTCAAAAACCTTAGAAATCTACTCGGTGTTCTATTTTACTATGACTGAACTGGCACTCAAACCACAAAATTCAGTTCTTCCCACTCTTCCCTCCCATTTTCACAGGCAGAGGAGCCTCACCTCATGACCACCACCACCACTGTCCCATGGGGAGAACTGCTACACTACTGCCATTGTTCACTTAAGGATTAAGGCTCTTCAGTCAGCTTGTGGTGAAGTCGGCCAAGCCTGAGACTCACCCTTCAGGGCAGTGGGCTCTCCTATGGCTCAGGGCATGTCAAGAAATGCTGTCCAAGGGCCAACACCTAGAATCATGGACCCGCTTGGTGCTCTATCTCACTATGGTTGATCTGGTACCTAAGGTGCTAGACAAAAATCACCTTTACTTAACTTCTGCTTTTCTCAAATAGAAGTGTCTCACTGTAGCCACCAGAGATAGTAATATTCCATGTCTCACCTGAAGTCAACACATCTCAGTCTCACCCAAGTTCCATGGTGTACTATCTGGCTATCTCTGCTGTTTATTTAGAGCTCAAGGAAGTCACCTTTACTTTACTTCTGCTTTTCTCAAATAGAAGTGTCTCACTGTAGCCACCACAGATAGTAATATTCCATGTCTCACCTGAAGTCAACACATCTCGGTCTCACCCAAGTTCCATGGTGTACTATCTGGCTATCCCTGCTGGTTATTTAGAGCTCAAGGACTCTTTAGTCAACAAGTGATGGGTCCTTCCAGGACTCGGTCCTTTCCTTAAGGTAGCGGGTTCCCTTCTGGCCCAGGATATGTCTAGAAATGTTATCTGGGAGCTAGGGCCTGGAAGGGGGGCACCTCACAATTCTGACCAGGGACCTATCTTATTGTGGCTGTGCTGGTATCCAAGATGCAAGACAAAAGTCCTCTTTACTCATTACTTTCCTCTCCTCAAGCGGAAGGAAGGGGTCTCTTTCGAAGTTGTGAATTGTGCTGCCTGGGGTTGGGGGAGTCGTGGTACAAGCACTCCTTTAGCTGCCCTGGCTGGTGTCTCAGTAAGTCATGTCCCCCCACACTTCCCCCAAGTCTACTGGCTTTTAGCCCATCTCAGGCACTACGACTCACCTAGGAGTTGCAGTCCTTGTGGTCCATGCCACACAGACACTGTGGTGGGAAAAGGGAAGGGGTGGCATTGGTAATTGGAGACTGTATTTCCTACCCTCTTTGGTGATCCTTTCAGTTAAAACCAGGTACTGTGAGTGCTCACCTGATTTTTTTGGTTCTTATGAAGGTGTTTTTGTGTATGTGTAGATAGTTGTTAAATTTGGTGTTCCTATTGGGGGAGACCATTGGTGGGGCTTTCTATCCCATGATCTTGCTCCATCCCTATTTTACATTTTCAATACTGATGCATCTTAAGAAAGCAAACTAACAATATCAGTACAGTATGATACCTGCTGTAATGAGAGACACACAAATGCAACAGGAGCACACAGAAAGAAACACCTACGTCTGCATAAGAGACTTCAAAAAGTCTAAAATGTGGAGGATAAATAGGCATCTGCCAATTAATAGAAGACAGGGAATTGAAGGCAGAAGGAAGAGCATGTTGCAAAGCCATGAAACTGCATGGTGAGAAAAGATAATAATTTGATATGATTGGAGCATTAAATGAATTTGAAGGAGAAAAGCGGGAAGTGAAGTGGGGCTAGTAGATGGGGGGAGCTTTGTATAAAATTTTAAGAATTTGAGAGTTCATATTTAAATAGAGGGCAGAGATGAAAGACTGAAGAATTTTTCTGCAAGCTACTTGCAAATTAGCAGAATGGAGGGCAGAGTAGAGTCAGATCAGTCTGAAAATAGAGAGATATATTAGAAAACCTTTGCAGTATTTTGAGGAAAAGAAGATAAGATTTTGAATTACAGCAGTAGCAACTGAGATGGAGAGGTGAAACTGATAAACATTTTGATGGTAAAATCAACAGAAATTGGCAGCTGATTGTTGAAGTTCAAGAAAAAGTTTACATGCTAGGTAATACAGTAAAATAAGTAAGTTTGGTAGAATTTATGGTGGTTAATTTTGGTAGAATTTATGGGGTGTGGCTAAGGAGTTGAAGATGAATTTCTATGTAATTTATATTTGCATATATTTTAGCATACAACAAAAATTTATATTCACTCAAAGACTATCTTCAATACACTTTATATGCACCCTCCTCTTCATAACCAACTATCTTGAAATCTATCATGTTAACTGGATCTTTAAGTTGGGCATTAGTAAGATTGAAGCTTTACCAAGGAACAAAAGTCAAGACTCTTAGAGATGAAGAAATTTGCCTAAGTGGATATAAGTAATAAATAGTGTTGTCAGGATTCAACCTGGACTCTACGGCTCTAGTGCCATATTTTTTTTTCCACCATATTTAAAATATCCCATCAATATCATAAAACAGAAATGAACTGATACATTTAATTAAAAGGTTCTTAATGTGCTTGATGTTCTTCAGATTAACTTCAATTTCTAATTAACTGAGTCTCTTCAATATCAAAGCAATAATATTTAATTGCCTATGCCTGGACTTTATCTTATCAAAGCAACATTTCATTTTCTGTTTTTTCTATTGAATTTGTGAGAACATTGGAAGCTGTCAAGGTGTGACATATTGAGAGCCCAATAAAGATTAAATCCCTGAGTACATGATTTGAAAAAATTTAATGAAATACTTTGCCCACTTGTCTAGGACTACTGTTAAGTAACCATCAACCAACACCTTTTCCAAATATAGACTTCCAAAAACATAAGTAGCTAGCCAGTATATTTTAAAAACTGACACGATCTCTCAGAGAAATTCAGATCCCAGAGTTGATTTGGGTAGGAATCGGGGAAGCAAAACTAAATTAATTAAAAGCACAATGTTACTTACTTTATCCTTGGAGAAGCTGAAAAGTTGTTTTCTTTCCACAAAGAATTGGACGGCTATTACACTGGCTGAGTGGCCCCAAAGGACACCCACTGGTTTAGAGACAACATAGGGATTCCAAAGGCAAACTTTATTGTTAATGCCAGCAGTTGCTAATCAGAATTAGAAAGAAAAAAAATGTTTTTAATAGCATGAATAGCCCACAGCATTTTCTTTGTGAAATGAGTTTACCATATAACTCTAGCTTGATGAATGTCAACTGTAGGTTGACTAATGCACCTGTTTTGCCATTGTCTAACTAGACCAGGCTAATAGAGCATGAGTTCTGTCAATAGAAATAGTTGAAATGGAGGGATTAGGGAAGAAAAAATTTGTCAAGGGGAAAAGGCTATGTATGAGGTGAAAGAAAACATATAGTCCCATTTAAAAACCAACCAACAGCCTAACCAGGAGGGGACAGAATCCTTCTTCCTAACCCTGATATTTCCCCTCTCCAGCCAGCTTAGCCTACAAATGTAGGCAGTGTTAAAGTTATCCCAGGAGTAAGAAAGAAAGAAAACAATGTTGAAAGTTCATAAATTAATTAAAAACTATAAAAAGACAAATTATCAAGTAATCAAGTACAGTCATGCATTTCATAACATTTCAGCCAACAATATACAGCATATACGAATATGGTCCCATGAGACTATAATATGGTATTTTTACTGTACCTTTTATATGTTTAGATACATAAATACCATTGTGTTACAGTTGCCTATAGTATTTAGTAAGTCTCATGCTATAGAAGTTTGTAGCCTAGGAGCAATAGGCTACAGCATATAGCTTAGGTGTGTAGTAGGCTACACCATCTCTTTGTGTAAGTACACTCTATGATGCTCACACAATGGAAAATCACCTAATGATGCCTTTCTATCCCCATCATTAAGCAATGCACGACTGTATGTGCAAGCAAAAAAGCAGCACAAATATACTTTTGACCTGCTTTATTATGGAATAAGATATTTTTGAACATCAATCAGTTATATTTAGGGAGCTCTTCCAGAGCAGGAAATGTTGTATCTATTCAAAACAACACAATACTCTTTGTTGCTTCCTAGCTTAGGGCCAGTTGTGGAGCTGAACTTAATCATCCTTATTTTTTCCAGCACTATAGGAGGTACAAAGTAATTATTATTATACAGAGATTGAAATGATTAACCAATCAATAAATTAAATAGTTTCTATTTGAGTCCTTGCCAAAATGAGTCACCAACTCCTCTATCCTTCTCTAATAAATCTACAGTACTCCTTGAAGATTTGATGTTGGCATATTCACGAATTCATATTCAAGGTATCTGTTACTGTGATTGTCAGGTATTATTTTGGGAATTTTATGGACACAGCTCCTTAGCTAATATTAATAATCTTCATATGAATGACAACTATTGAATGTGAGTTAATATGACCCATTCCGTAGACCATGTGTATGCTCTGTAACTACCCTATTAATTTTTCAATAATATATCTATACCTCATTTTTATAATGTTTGAACAAATATCATATATCAAATTATCAGCTTTCAGAATGTCTAAATTTTTAATTTAAATAGTTAATGCCTGAGAAAGGTTATATTTCCTCAGTTAAAATAAACTTTTTTTACATCAAAAGAACTCTCCTCTAGTAAACAAACCTCGCATAATCTGAACATTTTCAAAAATCATTAGAGATTGTATTCTGAAAGGTAATTGAAAAACAGTCTACATTTTGCGGTTCTCTTGTGTATGGATGTGTGTGTGTGTGTGCATGCACTGGTAGTGGTAGCTGTAGTAGTAGCAACGAAAAAATGCATTTGTTTGGGTGGAGCATTTGGTGGTGTTAGGAAGATGGCAGAATGGCAGATGCTGCACAAACTGTCTTCCTTCTCTATATCATTTTACACCCTTCACCAATTGTAATTAAAAAAAAAACTCATTAAAGCATTGGGCACTTTCTCATATTTTTACCTCAATGTAGTTCATACACACTGCACATCATAATGCATCATTATCAGACATTCTCAGGCAGTAAAATGTGAGCTTCTCGAGATGGTCTCTATAGCAATACAGCAACAAGGTAGCAAAGGCTCCATGCATACAAATATACATCCCAGACTATTTATGAGGCCCTCATAGTTATCATGATTTATTTTACCTACCAATTAAATTGAGCCGAGAGTGATAATCAAAAGCATGAATGCCCTGGGCAATGTTGAAGGATGTCATATTAAGACGCTTTTTTGATTTCTCTCTCCAAGCCATCACCACACTATTTGTATTGCTGGTTGTACTGGAAATGATAGCGTCTAAAGATGCATTGTAAGTAACTGATAAAAAATTAAAAAGAGAAAAACAATCTTTAGTTGATTCTTCACAAGATATTAGTAAAATGGAGCTGTTTTAATATGGAAAGTTAAAAATTAAACTCAAACTATGATGATACAAACTGATACTTAAAAAACACCTCACAAACCCCTTCTCCCACCTCCCACAAAAGAATTCCATTGAGAAGTTACAGGAAATTCTACATTCTGACTTTTCCCCCAATCTAGGGAAAGATAAGCAGAGATTTTGAAAGGTAATTAGGTCAGGAGAGTAGAACCTTCAAGAATGGTATGAATGCCCTTATAAAGGAGGTCCAAGGAAGCTTGTTTGCTGCTTCCACTATGTGAGGGCACAGGTGGAAGGCACCATCTAGGAAGCAGAAAGTAGGTCCCCACCAGACAGCAAATCTGATGGTGCCTTAATCTTTGACTCCCAGCCTCCAGAACTGTGAGAATAAATTTCTGCTTCACAAAAAGAGCATCCCTCATTAAGGAGTTAAAAACAGTATCTAGTTTTACTATTTTGGTATAATAACTTAATTTGCTTTGTGTGTGTGTGTGTGTGTGTGTGTGTGTGTGTGTACATATACATATGGCGTATATATACACACATATATTTGTAATATGTGTATATATATACACACACACACACACACACACACATACACAGGTATTTATACATTTCCAAACAATTATTAAAGGCAAGAAAGTTCTGAGAAGCAGGAAAATAGCTCAATGCATTCCTTTTCCTCTGATCTATTCAATTGGGCTGTTTCTAAAGGTAACTAGGATTTATTAATTCAAGAGCTCATATTGATATGTAAATAGCTTGATTTAGAAAATTCCATAGCTATCTCCCTAGGAAATAAATGGCATAACACAACCAATTTCTAACTAAATTAATGATGTTGAGACTATTCAGTGTGTCATTTACAGATATCGTCTCTCAAAACATGGCATTCAATCCTCAAAGATTTATTGGGCATCTACTATGTGTTCTGTGCTATGATAAAGATAATAAGAAAAAAAACAGATGCAGTCTGGACTTCAATTATATGGCCCCAAACTTGGGAGAAAAAACGTGTAAATCAAACAATTAGAGACAATTTTAGTACATCATAAAGTGATAAATTGAATGTTACAAAATGTATAATAGAATTTCAAAGAAAAAAGAAATCAGTGTGACTTTCAGGGTTTAAGAGACATTTGTTGAACGTTGACAAAAAGCATTTCAATAGATGAGAGGCCATGACAAATCACCTGTGTGGGAAACAAAAGGTAAATTGAGAGCTGAGAAAGAGCTAATCTACTTCTATATCTCATAGGTAAAGAAATAGGGATTCATCCACACAGTTTCAGTGATTTGCCAAAGTCAGCAAGTAATTGTCAAACTCAGGTCTGAAGTTCTGAGATTAACTCTTAAGTTTGGTGTCATGACATGCAATATTATAAATCGAAGCTTGGGACACTAGTATTTGGTAGAGCCAGAGTACAAATTCAGAATACAGGGCCTGATCTCTTGACTATTGAAACTTGGCTTCTCAAGTTTTAACATTCACACAAATCGCTATGTGAAAATGCAGATTCTCATTCAATGTAAACCTGAGATTCTGCATTTCTCACATTCCTAGGTGTTGCTCCTGATGCTCTCTGAGAACCACACAAAGTAGCAAAGCACTAGAATGCAAGTATTGCCATTATTTTATACTCTAGAGAGTATGTTAATCCATAGTTCTTAAAATTTGGGAGGTCAAACACCCCTTTGGGAATCTGATGAGAACTATAGACCCTCTCCATCAGAAAGGTATGCATGCACACAAAATTGTGTATAAAATATCACGATTTTGAGAACCTTCTCACTATACTCATAAAGTCCAACCATAATAGATCTGAGGAACTTAAGTGATAAACCTCCAGCCACAGGTAATTTTGGAGTGAGAAATTATTCTTCACCTGCTTCCTCAAGTGGTTCTTAAAATTTCTATTGCTAATGATGTACATCCTTTGTGTTAGTCAATACTCATTTTAGGCTTCTGTTTTAAGCTTCTACTTCTTTAATGTAAATGAGTGTAACTGTCCCTTGATACTGGCATATTGCTAATAGCAGAACACAATTTCTAAGAGGAAAATAAGGAGAGAACAGGATACAAAGGAGATGTTCAGAAAGGGGACCAGAGTAGAGCTGGTTCACAGAGCTGGCTCACAGAATAATTCACTGGGAAGTGTGTCATGAAACACAAAAGTGCTGCCAAAGGCCAAAATGGTCTGTTTCTCCACTCTGCCTAGAATTTACCTGGATTGTGTTATAAGGGCAGAGAGGGCAGTGAGTGACCCCTTTCCTCCTCATTATAAGGGTCATGGCCAATACCCCTATAACCAAAGACAGGTTAACAAGAGAAAAGCACAAAAAATTCATCTGATCATAGATTTACATGACACAGGAACCTTCAGAATGAAGATCCAAAGATATACAAGACACTGTCCATTTTTACACTTGGGTTCTATGACGCAGGGACAGCCATGTAAAAATATGATTGGAAAAAAGGAATATGAGCTAATGAAAATAGACTGAGTGGAAAACCCAGCAAGTCTTGTCTGCTCAGATTCTTCTTGACTTCTCTATACGGCATTCCTTTCTCCTGGGTATGGGGTAGGACCACTCTAGAATGAGGGATGTCATTCCATTCCTTTATGGTCAGGAGGTTACACTAATAGTAGGGGAATGTTAGAATAATATTTTTAGACTTTACGGCTACCTTTGGGGAAAAGGAGTTCTAGCTTCTATGACCTGGCTCAGGAAAGAATAAGCAGGAGAGACAGATGGGCAGGAGAAGGTCAGAGAGAAACTTTGCTCCTGAGGCTGCTTCCGAGGTTTTCATTTTGGGGTATCACTTTCTGAGCCCCAACAGTACGTTTCTTGCTTATCCCCCATATGGAATTTCTCTTTGACCTATGACTACTTTAAATAGTTTTTAGGATTATTTATTGAATCCTTCCTATGTACAAGCACCACTCTGGGTGCTCTCACCCTATAATAATCTTTAGTGGGTAAATTATTCCAAGTTTCCTAATGAGAAGATAGCAACCTGAAAGCCAACTTGCTCAAGGGCATGAAGCTAATTGGAGGTGGAGATGAGACTGAACCCAGTCCTGTGTGGCTGTCAACTCTCCTTTCCTGTGCTATTGCCTCCGTCTTTTTTACTAAGCCTCACTACAATGTGTATCACAGGTCCAGATCTGGGGTTCTTCCTATTACCAACTACCTTTCTGTCCCCATACCCTCAATCCCAAACCAAGCCCCTAATTTATCTTGAGTCTTCCCTTTCCTGATCACTTCACTTTTCTATTGCCTCTGATCCCCACGGGAACAGTATTTCTATGTCTTCCTTGCTTTCTCTCATCCTTTTCTCTCTTTTCTTCTTAATAAAAGGAAGGAAGAAAGGGTAAAAGGGAGGGAGGGAGGAAAAAAGGGACGGAGGGAGGAAAAAAGGAAAGAAGGGAGGACGGGAGGAAGTGAAAGAAAGGCAAGGATCTGGGAAGTAATTCGTTCCTATAAAGGAGAATCCTTTAAGTTTTATTAGAGAGCAATTAATTTCAGGAACATAAAGTCCCATGATTACCTGCTGCAATAGTACTACTACTGTACTAGAAGTTCCAATAGTATAAAATCTGATGGCAATGATTCTCATTCAGGAAGCAGCCTCACTGAAAATATTCTCTTTGTTTACAAAAAAGGGTTATTATAACCTGACTCTCAGTAAGGCAATATTATAAGATGTAAACTATACAACATAATACTATAATTATATCTTCAAGTGCATGGAAATCCCATAATATAATTACAATACAATCAAAATAAAATATTCCTACCCAGAAAATTACTTCGTCATGTGTTTCCCCATTATACCCAACTATCATCTTTAGTTTCCAGGTTATAAAGAAAGACATAGAAAGACGTGTATGCTGCTCTGGCATCCGAAGTATTGCTTTAAGATTTAAATCTGCAGGTTACAAAACGACATTTATGGGCCTGCAGTGCTACATATTGGAGGCTCAACAATTCACGCTTAATGTCTAAACCAAGATATAACTTGTTTCTGATTAAACTGTAGAATGCCAGAGTTCCTGAGAGTGCCTGGGTAAAAGGTGAGAGAAAAGCCATTTCCTTAAAATCAAATTATCTGATAAATAAAAATGTTTTTCTCATTTCTTGAATTGAGGTAAGGAAATGATAGGTTATGATGGAAAAGTTTTAAAACTATCAAGCTAAGGAATAGGATGAGCTGGTAAAATAAATGATTTCTTGTTAATATTCTCAGTAAGTTTTGGAATTGGTAGAGGAAAATACTTTTAAATTACTTTTATATAACATTATAGAGAAAAAAAACAACTTGATTATATTTATCCATTAAGATGCTAACTTTCAACTCTTTCATTCTCTTGCCACACAGTCATAAAAAAAGACATTAAGGGACCCTGCCATCGATCTTTGTCCTCATGTGTGCTGTCAAAATGACCCTGTGTAACAGCAATTAGTTAATGTGGGAAAGTGATTTGAAAATGAAAAGTGATACCTAAAAACTAAGTAAGTAATGCTATTAAGTGCACTTAGAGTAAGATAAAATAAGGCACTCTATAACATTTGCCAACTGATAGACATCGTGGCAGGGTAGGAAAGAAGTCTCCACCAATTCTCCCCTCTACCCCTGCAAGGACACCAAGTTAACAATCTACACAGAAAAAAACACTTTTACAAAAAACAAAAATTAGATGAGCCCTCATTGTACCTGGTTTTCACTTCACATCGCTGAAAGAGGCACTGAAGAGATAGAAAAATAAAAAAAAACAGTACTGAATCACCAACGCCCACCCTTCTCCACCCCTACCAGCAACTGCGTGGTGCTGAGAGCTTCTCTGGGAACTGGGGGAGAGAGAGCAGAGCAATTATGTAGTATTGAACTCTGTGCTGTCCTGGCAAAGCAGAAAGGAAACCTGGACCAAACTCAACTGGTGCCCGCCCACAGAGGGAACCTTAGCAGAGGGGAATCGCCCAGCCCAGAGGTCTGAACTTGAGCTCCAGTAAACCTCACCACTGAGGGCTACAGCACTGTTTGTCTCCAAATAAACTTGAAATGCCATAAAGCTCTAGGCCATAAAGACTGCAACTCATAGGTGAGTCCTTGTGTGGAACTAGGCCCAGAGACAATGGACTGAGGGGGCACACGACATACTGAGACACCAGCTGGTGCAGCCAAGGGAGGGCTGGCATCACCCTCCTCTAACCCCAGACTGCACAGCTCACGGCTCCAAAAGAGGTGCCTTCCTTTCACTTGAGGAGAGGAGAGGGAAGAGTGGGGAAGGCTTTGCCTTGCCTCTAGGATACCAGCTCAGCCACAGCAGGAGACAGCATTGGTCAGAGTTGTGAGGCTCCTGTCACAGGCCCTCAATCCTGGATGACACTTCTACACAACCTGGGCCGGAAGGGAACCCACTACCCTGAAGGAAAAGAGCCATTCCTGGCAGCATTCATCACCTGCTAACTGAAGAGCCCTTGTGCCCTGATGCAATATCCAGGTATTATATCAAGGGTCTTGGATGAGCCTCTGAGACTTGCTGGCTTCAGGTGAGACTCGGCACATTACTAGCTGTGGAGGCTATGGGGAAAAACTCCTCCTGCTTGAGAAAAGCAGAGGGAAAAGTAAAGGGGACTTTGTCTTGCACCTTAGGTGCCAGCATGGCCACAGGGGTGTAGAGTACCCAAGGCAGGCTCTTAGGGTCCCCAATTCCAAGACTTGACTCTTGGATGGAATTTCTGACCTGCCCTTGTCCAGAGAGGAGTCCACTGCCCTGAAGGGTAAGTCTCAGGTCAGGCAGCACTGACGACAAGCTGACTTAAGAAACAGTGGGCCATTAGGGAACATCAACAGTAGTCAGGAAGTACTCTTTTTGGCCTGGGGTAGCAGTGGCTACAGGGTGAGGCTTCTCTGCCTTTGGAAAAAGGAGTAAAGAGTGGGAAGAACTGCATCTTGTTGTTTGAGTGCCAGCTCAGCTGCAATAAGAGAACACCAGGTAGACTTCTAAAGTTTTTGACTCTAGTCCCTGACTTGCAGATGGCATTTTGGGACCCACCCAGGGGCTGGGGGACCTTGCTGCCCTAAAGGCAAAGACACAGGCCTGGCTGGATTTGCCACTGGCTGATTGCAGAGCCCCAGGGCCTTGAGTGAACATAGGCAGTAGCCAGGTAGTGATTAAAGCAGGTCTTGAGCGAGACCCAGTGCTGTGCTGGCTTCAGGTCTCACCCAGCACAGTCATAGTAGTAGTGGCCACTGAGGTGCTTGTGTCACTCCACCCCCAGCTTTAGGTGGCTCAGAACAGACAGAGAGACTTTGCATGTTTGGGGGACAGTAAGGGAGAGAACAAGAGTCTCTGTCTGGTAATCCGGAGAATTTTCCCAGATCTGGTCTGAGATCTGAAATGCTAAGAATACTTTAATCAGAAAGAAAAGGACAATGGGCAATGAATAGTCACCTGAAGGTACAAAACTCACTGGTAATGATAAGTGCACAGAAAACCACAGAATATCATAACACTGTAACTGTGCTGTGTAAACTACTCTTATCTGAAATAGAAAGACTAAATGATGAACCAATCAATACTAATAACTACGAATTTTCAAGGCATAATCAGTACAATAAGATATAAATAGAAACAACAAAAAGATAAAAAGCAGAGGGACGAAGTTAAAATGTAGAGTTTTTATTAGTTTGCTTTGTGTTTGTTTATGCAAATAGCGTTGCTCTCAGCTTAAAATAATGGGTTATAAGATAGTATTTGCAAGTCTCATGGTAACCTCAAACCAAAAAACATATGAATATACAAAAAATAAAAAGCAAGAAACTAAATCATATCATCAGAGACAATCACTTTCATTAGAGGAACATAAGGAGGAAAGAGAGAAGGAAGAGAAAACCAAATAACAAATCACAAAATGGCAGGAGTAAGTCTTTACTCACCATTAATAATATTGAATTTAAATGGATTAAACTCTTTAATCAAAGACATAGACTGGCTGAATGGGCAAAAAAACAAGACGCATTGAACTGTTATCTTCAAGAAACACACTTCACCTATAAAGGCACATATAGACTGAAACACAGAAGATAAAAGGGATGAAAAAGATATCCCACGCCAATGAAAACCAAAAAAGAGTAGGAGTCACTATACTTTTATCACACAAAATAGATTTCGAGACAAAAACTATAAAAAGATACAAAGAACATCACCATGTAATGATAAAGGGGTCAATTCAGCAAGAGGATATAAAAAACTTTAAATAAAAATGCAGCTACCATGGGAGCACTTTGATACATAAGGTAAATATTATTAGAACTGAAGAGAGAGATAGGCCTTGATACAATAATACCTGGCGACCTCAACACTTCACTTTCAGCACTGGACAGAACTTCTGGAAAGAAAATCAACAAACGTCAGACTTAATCTACACTATGGACCAAGTGGATCCAATAGATATTTACACAATATTCCATCCAAAAGCTGCAGAATACACATTCTTTTCCTCAGCACATGAATCATTCTCAAGGATATACCATATGTTAGGTATCAAAAAATATCTTAAGACATTCAAAATATTGAAATAATATCAAGTGTTTTCTCTGACCACAATGAATAAAACTAGAAACTACTAACAAGAGTAATTCTGGAAACTATACAAATACATAGAAATTAAACAATAGTCTCTTGAATGACCAGTGAGTCAGTGAAGAAATTAAGAAGGAAATTGAAAAATTACTGGAAACAAATGATAATAGAAAAACTACACACATATGGGATACAGTAAAAGCAGTACTAAGAGGGAAGTTTATAGCTGAAAGTGCCTTCATCAAAAAAAAAAGGAACTACTTCAAATGAACAATCCAATGGTGCATCTTAAAGAACTAGAAAAGCAAGAATAAAACAAACCCAAAATTAGTAGAAGAAAAGAAATAATAAAGATCAGAGCTGAAATAAATAAAATTGAAAAAAATACAGAAGATTAATGAAACAAAAAGTTTATTTTTGGACAAGTTAAAAGGACAAAGCTTTAGCCAGATTAAGAAAAAAAGAGAGTATATCCAAATAAATAAAATCAGAAATGAAAAAGGAGACATTACTACTGATACTGCAGAAATTCAGAAGATTGTTAATGGCTACTATGAGCAACTATATGCCAATAAGTTGGCAAATCAAGAAGAAATGAAAAAATTCCTAGATGCATACAACCCACCAAGACTGAATTGGGAAGAAATCTTGTGTTAAGCAAAATCAGCCAGGCACAAAAAGACAAACATTGCATGTTCTCACTTATTTGTAGGATCTAAGTATCAAAACAATTGAACTCATGAACATAGAGAGTGGAATGATAGTTACCAAAGGCTGGGAATGGTAGTGGGGGCCTAGCAGGGAGGTGAGGATTGTTACAAAAAAATTTACTTAAAAAGAGTAAGACTATTGTTTAATAGCACAACAGGATGACTATAGTCAATAATAATGTAATTGTATATTTTAAAATAACTTATAGAGTGTAATTGGATTGTTTGTAACTCAAAGTGTAAATGCTTGAGGTGATGGATACCCCAGTCCCCAGGTTGTACTTATTTCACATTTTATGCTGATATCAAAACATCTCATGTACCACATAAATATATACACCTACTCTGTATCCACACACACAAGAAAATTTAAATTAAAAAATAAAGTATAACTGTATCTATTCTATCTTTAAAATAAGAATTCAGCACTGCTAAGCATATTTAAAAATAATAATGCAATTAATTCAATTACTTTTCAAAATGCCAGGTAGGCACATGTCCATGATACAAATGAATCTTATTCTTCTACCATGCTACAGAACAAGCTGCAGGAAATAGAGCCCTTTCCTCAAACCAAGGCCACTGCTCACAGCGGATTTCAACTGCTTTAAACATAGTGACAGAACTGGCAGGAAAGGCAGCGTGGTCTAGCTAACTCGACAGTGTCTGGAAGACTGATTTAGATGCAGGGAAGTCGAGCCACACACAAGCAAGATATTAAATCTGGCTTCTCTGCCAACTTAGTCCCTATCAATTATAAAGACTCCCTGAGGAGTCTGTATTCTAAATTTTCTGGCACTTGTTCCACTAATTAGTGCAGCAATTAGCAGCTGGTTGTGGTGGCTCACACCTGTAATCCCAGCAGTTTGGGAGGCTGAGGCAGACGGATCACCTGAGTTCAGGAGTTCGAGACCAGCCTGGCTAACATGGCGAAACCCCGTCTCTACAAGAAATACAAAAATTAGCAGGGCGTGGTAGCTCATGCCTGTAATCCCAGGTACTCGGGAGGCTGAGGCAGGAGAATCGCTTGAACCCAGGAGACAGAAGTTGCAGTGAGCCGAGATCATGCCACTGCAGCCTGGGTGACAGAGCAAGACTCTGTCTCAAAAAAAAAAAAAAAGCAATTAGTGATTTTGTTAACAATTCAAACTGTTTTGTATCTTCTTCTAGCCCTGGTCAAAGGGCAGAAAACATTTTCAACGCAATAAAATATCAATGATTTTTGTTGCTGACAATTTCATGCTCATTCTTTCTTTCTTGTCCCCCCTCCTGCGTCCCGCGATGGAGTCTCGCTCTCTCGCCCAGGTTGGAGTGCTATGGGCAATGGCGCAATCTCGGCTCACTGCAACCCCCACCTCCCAGGTTCAAGCAATTCTCATGCCTCAGCCTCCCAAGTAGCTGGGATTACAAGCGCCCACCACCACACCTGGCTAATTTTATTGTTAGTAGAGACATGGTTTCACCACGTTGGCCAGGCTGGTCTCCAACTCCTGACCTCAGGTGATCCGCCCACCTCGGCTTCCCAAAATGCTGTGATTACAGACATGAGCCACCTGGCCTCATTCTTTCAATATCTGCATTCCCAGACTACAGTTTCCAAGGTTTCTAGTGATACTGTCTATATGAGGAGGAAATTATTAAAAAGGAAAATTCTCTGAAATTCAAGACGTTTATGTCTTAGCACTATTACACAAAACCTCTATAATTACTTTACAAGCATTTCAGAATGTAATTATTTTTCCATTAAAATATGACACAGAACCACTCAGAGAAGATGAAAACATTTACTCCTTCAAAGTTTTAAATAAGAAATCTGAACCTTATCTTAAAGCACTATGTTAATACTCTTCTGTCTGAAACTGAGTTTTTCCTTTGACATTTCATTTTTACAGATATTTTATCCTTAGCTTCAATAAAAATTATTATCATATTTGCTCATGTGTTTCTTTCTTTCCTCAATTGTATATTCCCTCCTCACACTGAGACGAAAATCACCAAAAATATTTCATGAAGAGTTCTAAGAATATTGAATCACGTTACTGGGGTAAAGAGAATACCAAATTAAACAGTCATTGGTTGCTTGCTCCTGATAGAGCAAGTCTTGCAGACAAAGGAACAGAATCCAAAACAACTACAAATCCCATATATTACATTTGAATCCATCCTGCCTTTCCTCCTTCTGCCTTCCTCTTCATTTCAGTCTTCCTGTCTTTTCTCGTATTGAAATCACTGAGCTTCAAACAACAACAGAAAGTCATATTTAAGCTTCTAATCTGTATTGCTAAATCTAAGAAAAGGCATTCTTTCATTGGTTATGACTGAAGTATATTCACCTTTCAGAGGTACTTGAGGAGTATAGTGGTGATCACGGCTCACTGCAGCCTCAATCTCCTGGGCTCAGGTGATCCTCCCACCCTTAGCCTCCTGGGTAGCTAGGGCTACAGGCCCATGCCACCACACTCAGCTAATTCTTGTGTTTTTTATAGAGACAGGGTTTCACCATGTTGCTCAGGCTGGTCTCAAACTCCTAGGCTCAAACAATCTATCCACCTTGGCCTCCTAAAATGCTAGGATTACAGGCGTGGACCACCACTCCCGGCTCTCCATTTAAAAAAAAAAAAAAAAAAAGAAAGAAAGAAATTCTACAACTATTAACCATAATTTCTTTTGATATTTCTCTTTTCTTTTGAAATATTTTTGAATAAAATTCACCCAATAATTTATCTAAGACTTTCCAAGTCAAATTGCAAAATGGCTTTTTTTTGCTCTTCAATCAAAACATAAAATCCCATAGAAGAAACTAATAGGAATTATTAATTAGAGACACAAGTGAAATTCTTTAAAAAAGAAAAAAGGAAGAAGAAAATTAATGTAATGCTTTCGCAGGACTTCAGATAGTTCATTTTGGCATACACTAATATTAAAATACAGCTCAGTTTCTCAGCACCAATAGATAAGCAGCCAGTTCTTTTCTGCCCTTAACCCATCTCAACAAGACACTCACTCCAGCATCCTTTGATAAATAAATTATCCATTGTTCCCTACAATAATTATCACAGAGCTCATAGTGCACAATACCATGTGCAGAAGGATACTTCGTTAAGTGTTACTGACTGCTGCTTAGTTTTGAGTGCTTCAAAGTGAACATGATAATAAACAAACCTTGAAGTGATTATTTAAAAATCTTCTTAGTCGGATGTTAGAAGTTAAGTTTCTTGGGATGGATCTAGATAACAGAATTAAACTGAAATATGCCAGTGCTTACTATGGTGCCTACTACATAGTAATTACCTAGCAAATGTTTTTTGGGTGAATATCACATAGAAGCTCCTATCCTTGCAGCTGGTAAAGGGTTGTTAAGGTGACTGAAAGATCTCAACAAAAGAAAGAGGCTAAATGATCAACAAATATTTATTGTATATTCACTATTTAAAAGGCATTGTGCTGGATTTCTGCTTCCAGCCATGATGGCATAACAAGGACTGATTTTAATCTCCCACCATAAACAACTAGAAAACTGGACAAATATTAGCAACAATATTTCAGATTTTGACAATAGGCAAAGTAGAACTGTGAACCCTGAGAGAAGAGAAACAAATAAAGTGGGCCCTACAATCACTCTGACTTTCTTGGAAGAAATTTCCAAACTATCAGCACACAGAGCAGGAAACCACACAGAGCCTAGCAACCTCCAGAGTTGGAGAAACAAAGATTAGCGTTAGAGGACCATGAGGCAGCTAGAAAATGTGGGACAGAATTCTGGAAAGGCAAATAATTAGAGTCCTATTAAAAAAAAGAGAGAGAGAGAGAAAGAAGAAAGAAAACTTTGAAAAAATAACAATAGAAAAATTTCCAAGTTTAATGAAAACTACAGATCCACAAATCCAAGAATTTTAATGAATTTTAACCAGTATAAAGACATACACACATATACACACACCCCAAGAAAAACTAAGGTACATCATAATCAAATGGCTTAAAATCAGCGATAAAGAGAAAATCTTATAAAACATTGTATTATGTGTTATACTGGATACTAAGGTGAATGAGGAATATAGTGCTTGCCCCAAGAAGGACGTTTTAATTTCCATTTATATGTAAATGTAATTTTCATGTGAGGCATTCAAATTTCCTTCTAGGCTTGGAAAGGTAAGAGGCAGGACCCAGATTCTAATGTGGGTACAGAAATTGGTAGGTTTGGTTCGCAGGGTGGGCAGCATTGCAAAGCAAGATTTTAAAGAAGAATCCAGGAGAAATGCCAAAATTGAGAACCTTGCAAATAATGCAATGAAGAGTCCATCTGAATTAGACAGAGGAAGAGGCAAAATAAAGAGTTTGATGTAAGGTGAAGTGGCAAAAAATAAAGGACGTTTCAGGAAAAACGTTGGCAAGAAAGACTCTTCTGTGGTAGGCCAGACACAGTGGCTCACACCTATAATCCCAGGACTGTGGGAGGCCCAGATGAGTGAATTACTTGAGGTCAGGAGTTTGAGACCAGTCTGGTCAACATGGTGAAACCCTGTCTCTACTAAAAATACAAAAATTAGCCGGGCATGGTGGCACATGCCTGTAATCCCAGCTATTCGGGAGGCTGAGGCACAAGAATCGCTGAACCTGGGAGGTAGATGTTGCAGTGAGCCAAGATCGCACCACTGCACTCCAGCCTGGGCGACAGTCTGAGTGAGAGTCCATCTCAAACAAACAAAGAAACAAACCTTTAAAAACCTTTTTTTTAAAGAAAGACTTGTCTTTAGTTGCAGAATCTGGGGTATCTCAGAATGAACAATCCTCCTCCGGAGGAGAAGATGAACTGGGAAGAGTCTATGCATTGGGCCAGGTGGGGATCTGTAATCTTCAAATAAAAAATTCCCCAGCTGGAAATGGAAAGTTTTATAAGACGTCCTAAGATGGCTTACCATTCCACATTTTTAGACCTCAAATCCTGAAGATGGTTGCTTCAGAGAGCTGCCTGTTTCTGTCCTTTCTTTATCATTTCCATTTTCTAATGATCAAAAACCTTCTAACTAGCCAGTCTGATTGCAGTTTCTTTCTCCTCTAACCCATGCTGAACAAACTACCAAGTAAACTTTTCCTAAATACTGTCTGCATTGGGTCTGTCCAAGTTTCCTCAAAAGCCTTCGACGTTTCACGGCCAATATCTTCCAATGTTATGTCCCCATTTGACCTATTTGTTTCTATTTCCCTAATATTCAGTGTCTGATCTATTCATGTCTACCTCTCCTTCTGTCATCATTGTGCCTGCTTGTCTATTTTGCTCATGTTGCCCACGTTCTCTTTCTCTCTCCCTCATCCATCCTTCAAGTACCACCACTGATCCTTAAAGCTTTTTCTTATGGCTTTTCAGGCTTAAGAACTACTCTAGGAGTCAAAATCTTGTTTATAAGATTTAGTAGTTAATTTTCAGTACCACTGAACAATGTTCTAATAAGGTGACTTGTGTTAGTTTCTATTTCATTCAGATATTAAGTTTTCTGAGGGTTGAGTCTATAATTAATCTTTCTTCTATAGTCTCAAATGCCTAAGACAGTTTTAAGACACATAAAAGATCAATAAATAATTGTTGATTGATTGACACTCAAGTCCATAATTCAAATAAAGTGTTTAAAGTAAATGTGTGTGTGTGTATTCCTGTTGTTGTTCCAAAAATTATCTGCTTGATTATAATGAATTTTTTATTCAAAGAACTGAGAAATATATAATACGAATAAGATAGCAAAGATTTTTAACTATATATGTACATCTATATATATCTAATTTGTATTACATATGTAGTTCCTTATATATACATAAAACTTCTCTGTAGCCAATTCCTACTTTGCAGTGATTTAAGGCCAGACTGTGAAACTGTGAAATCGGATTCCTTAGGTCATAAACATGAATCTCCACTGCTAATACTAAACTAAATTCCCATGTTCTTTTGTCAGTAGAGGAGGGAATCAAAGATCAGAATGATATGATAGACACATGGTAAGTAGCAAATCAACATTGACCTAGAGAACAATCCTTGTCCTATAACTTAAGAGACAAATGCTCACTGATAGGTTACTTCATTGGTATGGTTGATTTTTTGGGACCCTTAAATAAAATTGAGGCAGAGTCTGCAGTGAGAGCTTCCCCATTCTCTTCCTGAACATGAAGAATATATAGATATAATGCATCATCGGAAAAGACAATCACAATTTAAAAGCCTTACTTGTTATCTCTCCAACCCTTTCTAAGACAGCTTTCTATAGGCTTCTCTGTATTTACTCATATTATTTAAAGGTTATGGACTCAAATAATACATTAACTTTCAGAGAACCTACTGTGAGTAAATTTCAAGAACTATCACTTTATTATTATAATCTAGTCTTTGGCATATGTATCTAAAAAACAAATGAATATGAATACAAATAAAAGAATACAATGTTTTTCAGAAGAAGTTGAAATACCTCCATTCTGTATATTTTTAATACTCTGATTCTTATTTTCATGTTATGAAAACTTAACACATAATTTTGTGCCTGTCACACTTAGCAGATGACCAAAAACTGTCATCTTTTGTTTTTCCTACAATTAATATCATGCAGAATTTAAAAATGTATAGAAGGTACTAAAGCCATGGTATGATTTATATCAAAGAAAAAAATGAAGAGCACATAGTTCCTCACATAGGAAATTCTTACTGTGGGCATACATTAAAGAATTAGTTTCAACCTTCTGAAACCCAAAGAGGGTAAAATTACCAAAAAGCCAACAGTTGGGTCCATGTTGACTGTCTCTTCTTCAAACTGTATTAGGAATAGCCCAATAACATTAATCTCATCTAATTTCATTAAAGTCAATGAGATTGTTAATTTTCATTCTTTTCAGTGGGCATTCTTTAGTGTAGCAATTTAGAAGTGAGAAAATTAGCATACTCAGTATCTAAACAAAGAAATATTAGTGCAGATATTGCACATCTGAATCTCGAACCATCAGATAAAATTAAGATATTTTATGAAACTAATTCATTGGTGACTAGGTTTTAAGAAAGTTCTTGTTTTCTGTAGATACTGATTTTATAACATAGTCTTATTACACAAAGAACTGCCACTCAAGTACTCTAGATTAGAGAAATTCAGTCATTACATCAAAAAAAAAAAGAGAAGAAAATTAAGACAATTCAATTCTAAAGGCAGTCAAACTAATATGCTTCCCATGAGAACATAAGGAAAACAAAGGAATGGTTCTGAGGGAACTTGTTAAATTCTTTTATTAAACAGCCCTGAATGTAACTAGATGAGATTAGCTAGGCTCAGAGTTGAGTTGAAGCTAAATGAATTCTATGACAATGTTTTCCTTTCTCTTAAGATTTCTTGAGCACATTGGTCACCTGAATTAATTGTATGAGGCATAAATTCAGAAGGAAAAAAAAAAGAAAGAAAGAATCCCTGCCAGTATTCAAGGGATAGCAGAGTCCAGGCCACAACCTCCAGAGAACCAATTATTGGTTTCTAGACTTAAAGGTTTTGTGTGAAGCATTTTCATCAAAGAATATAAATGTACAAGTCAGAGGTGACCATTTACTTTCATTACTGTTCAAATTCAATACCTTGCCTGACCCAATCTCCTTGATGAAGTTTATGCTCTAATATATGGCAACATTTGTGACATCCAGAGAGCAGCTCTGCCCAGTTAATGGTCATAGTGGCTTCTCCATCTTCACATGCACTAGCAGGCCGTTCAAACAGGGAAATCAAGGCTGCGGTGAAAGCAATTGCTTGAACCTTGACAGAGACATTGAAAGAACAACAATCGTGGACGGGATATTTGTTGCAAGAAGATTCTAGGTTATTTTAGTTTAATAAGGAATAGCTATTAACTTAATAAGAATTTCTTCAATATTATTTAAAGGATGCAGGGTGTTATACTAAAAAACAGAACAATTATTAGTTTGGTGATACAATTACCAAAGGGCAGTCTTTTACTTGTTTTTAAGACACATTTGTCATTAAAATAGTAAGAATGAAAAGCTTTCACAATTACAAAAGGAAATTGTTCCAATTAGCCTACTTCAGAGGTCACAGACATATTCTAGTTTCATTCAGTAAGTAATAATTTTTCATAGTTCGGGTGAAATTTGATAGGAAGACAGAAATAATTGTATCCAATATCTAGGTTTCAGAGCTGCCCTCTCTAATCCTTTTGTTATATGATACAGGCAATGAGCACTCGGTAGGAAATTGGTACTGAGAAACCCAATACTCTATGTAGGAAAATCAGAACAATAAATTTGAAAGCATTTCATGGGATAAATGTAATCATTTAATATTAAACATTTATTCATATTAGGATCTAATAAATTAAGCATCCTATGGTGAAAAAGGTTAGCAAGATCTTTTTTTCTACATGAGAAAAGTGAGCTATACACAGACCAAAAAAACAAACAAACCCCCACACACAATTAAGATTTGTTTTTGTACGCAAGAAGACAAATTGTGACCTAATCCATCTCTTCCATGTCCAATGTGCATGTAATCCATAATGTAATTAAATTTGGAGGTCACACTCATTGCATTTTAATTTCTACTTTAAACTACAGTTTGATGATTAAATCCATAGTATTCAATCTTAATCTACCCTCACTTACCTTTCCAGTTATATCCCCAAAAGAAAGAATTGATTCATTGGCATCAAGAGGATCATACCAATAATCCATGCAAATTGGTGTTCCTTTCAGGCCTTGGAGTTTGTATTGGCAAGCAAATTCTTCTTTGGACAGCAGATCATAGAAACAAACCTCTTTACTTGTAAAAGCCACTGCTATCTAAAGTAGCAGAGTAGAAAATCAGAAAGTAATTCTG
Source organism: Homo sapiens (assembly GCF_000001405.40). NCBI lineage: Eukaryota > Metazoa > Chordata > Mammalia > Primates > Hominidae > Homo > Homo sapiens. The sequence continues at coordinate 167,621,681 of NC_000003.12, forward strand.
ATGGATTTAGCAAAATTAATATGCAAAGCAGACACGCCACTCTAATTGCCAAATCAGACTTTGTTCTCTGAGGATCCTTAACAGTATTACAGAAGTTAAGAACAGCGGCACAAATGTACCTTATCCTAACTGTGGAATCTAGCCAAGAAGAAACTTTTCCCATTAGAGGCATTTGAACATGCTTTATTTCCTATCCCTATTCCACACAGTCACCAACATCCCCATCCATGGGAGACTAGACCACTAATCACACAGGAGAGACTAAGGCACAGAGATATAGCATGATACAATCATACCAGAAACTTTACAAACCATGTTTTATGATGCAAGTAGAGACTTTCATGGAAATCATTTGATACAGACTCTATAAGTAGCTTTATCTGAAGTCAGAGAAAACCCTAAAGGCTATTTTACAAAGGGGAAAATATTTAACAACATAAAAATAAGTCAATAGAAAATGTCCCTGTAGAGATTCACACATTGGATTTACTAGAAAAAGACTTCAATTCAACTATTATATATATGTGCAAACAACTAAAGAAAACAAGATCTAAAGAAGCAAAGGAAAGTATGTGGCTGGGTGTGATGGCTCATGTCTGTAATCCCACCACTTTGAGAGGCCAACGCAGGAGGATTACTTGAGGCCAGGAGTTCAAGAACAGCCTGGGCAACATAGTGAGACTCCCATCTTTAAAAAGAAAAAAAGAAAGAAAGAAACAAATGAGAATGATGTCTGATTAAATAGAGAATTTTAAGAAACATGCATAAATTATTAAAATCACCATTCTGCCAATCTTTGCCCTTTAATTGGTTAGTCCATTGATATAATTACTGAAAAGGTAAGATTTACATCTGCCATTTTTCTAACAATACAGCCCCGTAATACAGAAGCAAAAACTAAAATTATTGAAGACAGAGTAGGCATTTCAATAATAACAGTGGGATATTTCAATACTCTACTTTCAATGATGGATACAACAACTGAGCTGAAGATCGGTAAGAAAATGAAGACTTGACAAACACTATAAGCCAACTAGATCTAATGTATGTCTAAAGAACACTCCAGTCCAACGTCAGCAGGATGCACTTCTTCTCAAGTGCACAGGCACATTCTCCAGGGTAGACCATATATTAGGTGATAAAGCAAATCTCAAAAAATTTAAAAGATTTGAAATTATATAAATTATATTCTCCAAACACAATGGAATGAAATTAGAAATTTCATTCAACAAAAGAAAAATTTGGGAAATTCACAGCTACATGGAAATAAAACAACACACTTCTAAGTAACCAATGGGTCAAAGAAGAAACAGACAGAAAATATCAACAGAACTATGACAAATGAAAGATTAAATTAATAGTCAAAAAAAGTGTCACAAAGAAAATCCTCAACTAGATGGCTTCACTGATAAATTCCACCAAACGTTTCAAGGAAAATCATACCAATACTTCTCAAACTCTTCCAAAAAATTACGGCAAAGGTAACACCTCCCAAATCATTTTATCAGGCCAGGATTACTCCAATACTGAAACCAGACAAAGACATCACAAGAAAAGAAAACTGCAGATCTATACATCTTACGAATACAAATGTAAAATGTATACTGAACTAAATACTAGCAAAGAGAATTTAGCAACATACAAAAAAGTTTACACATCATAGCAAAGTAATATTTATCCCAGGAATGCAAGGTTTGTTTAACATACAAAAATCAATCAATGTAATACTTCATATTAATGGAATAAAAGACAAAAGCTATATGGTAATCTTAGTAGATGCAAACAATGCATTTGACAAAATCCAACACATTTTCATGATAAAAACACTCAACAAACCAGGAATAGAAGAGAATTTCTTCAACCTCATAAACAGCATGTACAACAACAACAACAAAAATCCTACAGCTGACATCATACATATCGGTGAAAAAATAAATACATTCCCCATAAAGATCAGAAACAAGACAAGGATGTTCACTCTCACCACTTCTATTTAATATGGTATGGAATTTCTAACCAGATAAATTAAGCAAGAAAATGAAATTTTAAAATATCAATATTAAAAAGGAGGAAGTTAAACTAGCTCTCTATATCTATTTGAAGATAACGTGATATTATATATAGGAAATTTTAGAAATACTCAAAAACACTACAGAACTAACACATGACTTCAGAAAGATGCAGAATATATTATCGTTTTTGAAAAATCTATTGTATTTCTATACAATGAACAGTCTGAAAATGAAATTACCAAAGGCGGTGTTAAGAGAATGTAAAAACTGAGATGCAGTTTTTACAAAGTATCCATCTGATAAATCTATCTACCCAGAATACATATAAAAACTCTCGAAACTCAATAAGATAACAATCCTAATAAAAAATGGGAAAAGATTTGGATAGACATTTTACAAAAGAAGATGTACAGGTAGCAAACCAGCACATGAAACTATGCTTAACATTATTAGCTACTAGGTAAATATGAATTAAAGCCACAATAAGATATAAATGCAGGCCTTTTAAAATGGCTAAAATTAAGAGAAAAAATTACTGATCATACCAAATGTTTGTGAGGCTATATGCACAAAATGGAAGGCTGCAGAGCAATAAAAAAAACTAGTAGTATACCTCAAAACGTGGATAATTCTCAAAATAGTTATGCCATGGTAAAAAAAAAAAGAAAAGAAAAAAAGGAGTACACACAGTATGGTACCAATTATACAAAACTCTAGAAAATCCAAATTAATCTATAGTGACCAAAAGCAGATCAGTGCTTGCTTAACATAAAAAGGGATTGTGGGAGTTACAAAACACTGCTAGGAAATTTTTGAGGGTGATTAATATGTTCATTGTCTTCTTTGTACTTTTGATTTTTCACAGGTCATGTATGTGTTAAAATCTATCAGCTTGGGACACTTTCATATGTGCAGTATATTTTGTATAATTATATTTCAATAAACCTATTTTAAAAAGAAAAAAGCAACATTCTTTAAGATTCTATATTGAGTAAGCACAAAAGAAAGGCTAAGATTTTAGTTCAGTGCTGAAAAGAAGAAACAGTGCAAAACAAATATTATATGAAAATAACAGAATACTGCACATAGATATAAAAAAATCATCTGGACTAGAACTATCTTTTAATTCATACAAGTTAAATATTAGCTCCAGATACTTGGCAAAAAGGAACTGGATCCAATGTCAGCAGCCACTGTGAAGGCAGCAAAGACTGAAGCATAGGCCTGAAGTTGGGCTGCCTCAGTTTACAAATCTTGGCAACCCTGATTACATCCTGGGTGACTGAGGGCAAATTACACAACTTCTCTTTGCTCAGTCTTTCATTTGTAAAGTGGGAATAATATCTACTCCATGGTGATTTTGAGAGGATGAATAGATTAGGGCATAGGAAGCTACTGAGGATGAGAATGATCTATGGTTCCAAACAATAGAGCATACATTTTCCCACTAAAAATAACTTGCCTTTTTGGAGAAATGCTGATTTTAGGTCTGGCATAGGAAATATACAAGATGATTCTGGAACATTTTGTCATACCACGAAACAAAGAAGCTTTCAAGCACTGTCAGGAGTATAAAAAGACTCAGAAGCCGACTTGCATTGTTCCCACTCTCTAAAGAGGGTACAATTTTTGGTATGGGATAACAACTCAGTAGATTAAAACAAATAAAAAATTTTAAACCCATTATTTTTCAATTATACTGATAATAATAATAATAGTACTCATTGTTTATCTTTAGAGAATATTAGAAAACCAGCTCATTATTTTGAAAACTGGCAAACAAAAGTGAAAAATTAGGCATGTATTCTGCCCTTAATTTGTACCACTTGATAACTGAAAAATTAATGGGTTTATTTCTTTCTTATAGAGGTATTCTAGCTTAAAGGAAAAGGAAATTGTGAAATTAGAATATCATCTTCTGACCCCTAAAAAATTCATGGATCTAGGAATAATCAGCAACAACTGCTAACATCTCAGGAAGAGGAAGAACCAGGTATTTAATACCTACTGACTGAAGAAAACATAACCACCTATTCTAAACAAACTAACCACTCTGAAACGATGCAAGGCTTTACACTTGACCACCAATTCACTAGAAAAATCAGGGAATGGCTGGACATATTAAACAACACCATGTAGACACAATCTGTAAAATCCAGAGTGTGGAAAATTCTAAAGGACAAACCTTGGTTTCTTTAACAAAAACATCAACAGCAACAGCCAAAATTTGCAAAAAAAAAAAAAAAATTAGGAACAAAGAAAAGCATGTATATCAAAAGAGACATATTAACCATTCACGATGTTTGGACCTTATTCAGATCTTCGTTGAAACAAACTATTAATAAGACAATCAGGAAAATATGTACATGACTGGATATTTCATGATATTAAGAAAATATTGCTATGGATATTAAGTGTGGTAGAGGTATTTTGGCTATGCTAAAATAGAGACATCTTTTAGAAATACAGAAATATTTACAGATAAAATAATATGATGTTTTTGATCTTAAGGGGGAGGTATAGATGAAACAAGATTAGCCGTGAATTGAAAATGATTGAATACTAGGTACATCAGGTTTCTAATACTATTCTCTCTGCTTGTGGGTGCATTTGAAAATTTTCATAGTAAAATCTACCATCTGCTTCATATAAATTATTACCAATATGGATACTTCAAGCTCCAACCTTCCCCATCAAAATTATTTTACTTACAGTATGTTATCTTTCTGAGAGGTATTGGTATATGAAGATGTTTAGACTGAGTGGGCCCTATCTATTAGAATGAAGACACTGACTAGCACAGTGATCAAAATTAGATAAGCAGTTCCCCTTAAATCCATTGAATCTTGCCATGCACTATAATAGCCTCTCAGCTCCACATACAGATCCACAGTCCTGCTGTAAACTATACAGGAGTAAAGTCCTTATAAGCTAATAATGAAGCATGGCCTCATTGAAGACAGAGCCAGGAATCTGAGTCATCAGCCACAGTGTCATTACAAGGCACCCAAGAAAACAGCTGGCACTACCTGTTCTCCCTCCAGGTCAGGAGAAAGCCACCAAGAGTAATGCAGCTTTCTGTTACTGCTAGCCAGGAGCCCTGCCCCATAAGTTTTCCCTCTTTTACAAGCAGTACATTTTTTTATAAAGAGTCTGTACCTTGTTTACATTTTCCAGAGAAACCAGACTTGTCACCCACAGGTGTTTGAGCTTGGTGGCATCTGAAGTGATGGGGAATGTTTCTTGCAGCTTTAAATGCTCTCCCCAGATTGCCAATAAACCTTCTTTACTAATTGTCAGATAATGACTTGAATTTTTTAAGAAAATTACTTTTTGAATGGTGTCCTTGTGTTTTACTGGGAGGAATTCAAGGTCCTTCCACTGGGGCACCACAGTTGCCTTTGCTCGTTCATCTTGCTCATAAAGCTCTAGCAGTATAAATGAAGTCAGCTTGTCCCAATTAATGAAGCCATCTTGGGCCACATCCACTTTGTCAAAGAGCTCCCCATATTCTTCCTTCGTGCCCCAACCAACAATCTCTGTCATCTTCTGCGTGAAGTCTTCTCTGGACATACAAATGATTTTCCTTGGCTGTGGGGACTAGAAACAGGAATCCAAAAACAATAATGAGACAACAGTGAAATCATCATATGCATGAGAGAACTGTGCTACCCACAAAGGTGAATTTAATCAGCAATTCTGCCAACATGAAAAGAAAAATATTTTTTGCTTCATAACAGTAATATACTCAAGTGAACTTAAACTGGGGAGCAAGTAACTGACAGGACTAGAAACTGACATTCTCAATCACAAAAAGTCAATCACAAAAGTCCTTGTATCGGGAAGAGTAAGGCAGGAGAATATGTGATGATAGAAGCATGGAATGATGTGAGGCTGCGAGCCAAAGAATTCAGGTTACCTCTATTTAAGCTAGAAAAGGCAAGGAAAGGTTCTCCCCTAGAACCTGCAGAAGAAAGACAATCCTGACAACTTGATTTTATCCCTGTAAAACCCATTTGGGGCTTCTGAACTCCAGAACTGTATATTAATATATTTGTGTGTTTTAAGTCATGGTTTTTGGTAATTAGTTACAGCAGCAACAGGAAATTAGTACAGGCATATCTCCTTTTGTTGTATTTTGCTTTATTGTACTTTGCCGATATTGTGATTTTTACAAATTGAAGGTTTGTGGCAACCTTGCAAGTCTATCAGTGCCATTTTTTCAATAGCATCCCTACTTCGTATCCCTGTGTCACATTCTGGTAATTCTTATAATATTTAAAACTTTATTGTTATTATTATTATATCTGTTATGGTGATCTGTGATCAGTAACCAATCTTTGATGTTACTACTGTAATTGTTTTGGGGCACCATGAACCACACCCATACAAGACAGCAAACTTAATTCATGAGTGTTGTGTATGTTCTGATTGCTGCACCAATCAGTCATTCTGCTTTCCCTCTCCCTTTCCTTGGGCCTCCCTATTTTTTGAGACACAAAAATATTGAAATTAAGCCAACTAATAACCCTATAATGGCCTCCAAATGTTTAAGTAAAGTCAGAGTTTCACGTCTCTCACTTTAAATCAAAAGCTAAAAATGATTAGGCTTAATGGGGAATGCATGTCAAAAGCTGAGAGAGGCTGAAAACTAGGCTTCTTGCACAAAACAGCCAAGTTATGAATGTAAAGGAAAAGTTCTTGAAGGAAAAGTGCTATTCCTTTGAACACGTTAATGATATGAAAGTTAGACAGCCTTACTGCTGCTGTGAAGAAAGTTTTAGTGGTCTGGATAGAAGATCAAACCAGGCACAACATTCCTTTAAGCCAAAACCTAATACAGAGCAAGGCCCTAACTTTCCTTAGTTTTTTGAAGGCAGAGAGAGGTAAGGAACTTTCAGATGAAAAGCTGAAAGCTAGCAGAGATTGATTCATGAGGTTTGAAAAAAAGAAGTCATCTCCACAACATAAAAGTGCAACATGAAGCAGAAACTGCTGATGTGGAAGCTGCAGCAAGTTATCTATAATCTCTAGCTAAGATAACTGATGAAGGTGGCTACACTAAACAATACGTTTTCAATGTAAATGAAACAGCCCTATTTGGAAGAAGATGCCATTTAGGACTTTCGTAGCTGAGAGAAAAAGTCATGCCTGGCTTCAAAGCTTCAAATGGCAGACTGACTCTCTTGTTAGGGGCTGATGTAACTGGTGAGTTTAAGCTGAAACCAATGCTCATTTATTATTCCCAAAAATCTCTGAGGCTTTTAGAATTATGCTAAATCTGGCTGGGCACAGTGGCTCATGCCTATAATCCCAGAACTTTGGGAGACTGAAGGGGAGGATTGCTTGAGCCCAGAGTTTGAGAAAAGACTGAGCAACATAGTGAGACTCCATCTCTACAAAAAATAAAAGAAATGAGTTGGGCATCGTGAGCCTGTAGTCTTAGTTACTTGGGAAGCTGAGGTAGGGGTGTCACTTAAGCCTGGGAGATAGAGGCTGCAGTGAGCTATGATTGTGCCACTGCACTCCAGCCTGGGCAACAGAGCAAGATCCTGTTTCTGTGCTCTATAAGTGAAATAACAAAGCCTGAATTACAGCACATCTGTTTACAGCATGGTTTATTGAATATACATGGTTTACTGAATATACAGTGTGGTTTAATGAAGCCCACTGCTAAGACGTACTGCTTTGAAAAAATATTCCTTTTAAAAGGGTACTGCTCCACCATGTCCCTGGTGGCTCAAGAGCTCCAACGGAGATGTACAAGGGGATTAATATTGTTTTTATGCCTGCTAACACAGTGTACATACTGCAGCCCATAGATTAAGAAATAACTTCCAGCCTTCAATTCTGATTATTTAAAAAATATCTTTTATATGGTATAGCTGCCATAGACAATGATTCCTCTGGTGGATGTGAGCAAAGTAAATTAAAAACCTTTTGGAAAGGATTCATTAGAATGGCATCATTTTAGATGCCATTAAGAATATTCATAATTCATGGGAGGAAGTCAAAATGTCAAAATTAACAGGAGTTTGGGAAAAAGTTGATTCCAACCCTCATGGAAGACTTTGAGGGGTTCAAAACTTAGATGAAGAAAGTAACTGCGGATGTGGTAGAAATGACAAGAGAACTCGAATTAGAAGTGGAGCCTGAAGATGTGATTGAATTGCTGCAATCTCATGATCAAACTTAAATGGATGTGGGGTTGCTTCTTATAGATGAGCAAAGAAAGTTGTTTCTTGAGATGGAATCTATTCCCGTTGAAGATGCTATACACATGGTTGAATGACAACAAAGATGTAGACTATTAAATAAACTTAGTTGATAAAGCAGTGGCAAGTTTTGAGAGTATTGACTTCAATTTTGAAAGAAATTCTATTGTGAGTAAAACACTGTGAAATAGATCTCATGCTACAGAGAAATCTTTCATGAAAGGAAGAATCCATCAATGTGGGAAACTTCACTGTTATCTTCTTTAACAAAATTGCCACAGCCGTCTCAATCGTCAGCAACCACCACCCTGATCAGTCAGCAGACATCAACATCAAAGCAAGACCCTTCACTAACAAAAACATTACCTCTCGCCAAAGGCTCAGATGATTGTTAATATTTTTTAGCAATAAAGTATTTTTTAATTAAGATATGTACACTTTTTTAGATATGTGCTATTGGACATTTAATACCCTACAGTATAGCTTAAATATTTATCTTTTATTTGCTCTAGGAAACCAAGAAATGTGTGTGACTCACTTTATCCTGATACCCACTTTACTGCAGTGGTCTGGAACCAAATCCGCAATATCTCCGAGGTATGCCTGTCAAGTGGTTGATGAAAATTGAGTGAATCCCTGAAGAGTGCTTAGTGAAGCCAGTAAAATTACCCCATGGTGAAACTTTAATCAAAGGGCAATAATTTAACTTCTATACATATGCCATAACAAAGAACAGTGAAGCCACATGCAATTGATTCTTGCTGTTCGTGGTAGCTATATTCTGTAAACTCTCTGAGAACACTAAATTAGCAGATACTGAACCATTGTTCCTACGGGAAACACAGGGTTAAGTTTCTGCAAACCTCTGCACAACTGCTCACTGCATAATTTTGTTTTATGTGTGTTTCTGTTGAAAGACATCTTATTTAATATATTGTTAATTAATCACAATTAAATTCATAGTCAACAGCATCACAACTCGTGCCTGAATGAAGCTAACACATGTATCTTCTCAGTAAGACATATCACAGCCTTCTTAGGCTTAGGAACGCTAGCCAGCACTCCACCACCACACTTGGGGGCCATTTTAAACAGCGAAATCCGCAACAATAAGCACAACATGTGAAAAACGTGGCACTAAAGAGATGTTAAAAACAATGAGATCACTTGGACACAGGGTGGGGAACATCACACACCGGGGCCTGTCAGGGGGTGGGGAGCTGGGGGAGGGATAGCGTTAGGAGAAATAACCTAATGTAAATGATGAGTTGATGGGTGCAGCAAACCAACATGGCACATGTATACCTACATATCAAACCCGCACGTTGTGCACGTGTACCCTAGAACTTAAAGTGTAATGAATAAAAAAAGAAAAAAGAAATTGCCATATGGTAAAAAATAAATAAATAATTTAAAAAAGAGATGTCAAAAAGGACGCTTGTTTACAATATGAGAGCTGAAACAAGAAAGCAGAGTGTTGCCTTGTTTGATTCTGCTTGGAATGTACACATTGGGAGACTCAAATTTTTTGCCACTCTGCACATGTCTGAGAAGGACCATTGAAGTGCCACGAGTATTGATTTGGGGATGAATAAATTTTAGGAAGTAGGCAAATTTGCAAGTATAAAACTCACAAATAATGAAGATTAACTGTATTTCAAGCAAATATTTAGCTTCACGTTGATGGGCTGTTTAGTTCAGTGAGATTCATTATGAGAGAATAAACTTTTCCCACCACATCGAAGCGAGAGTCAGGCCTGGAAGAAGCACTAGAGTCAGCATATTGTGGAGCAGGTCAAACCAATGTAGGTTTAAGCCTGGTTCCACCAGAGATCGTGAGAACTACTGGCAAGGTACTTCACTGCTAAGCCATAATTTCACATCTGTAAAGTAGGTAAAGCAGTATCAGTTGCAAGAAAACTGTTATGAAGATTAGCTGAAATAACAGAGGTTAGTTTAATGGAGGTTAGTCCGGGCACTTAACTAATTAAAATAACTTTCTGAAAAATAATTGATATCGAGCCCTTTGAACCAGCCAGGAGTTAATTATTCTTATCTTTGTTCAGTTATTAAATGTTTAGATAGCTGGACATTTTTTAGTGATCCAGATTTTAAGAGTAGAGAAAGAAACCTGGTCCTAAAAGTGCTCCATCTGTGTCAAAACTGCAAACTATTTCTGAAAACTAAGGCAATGTTGATTTTTATTTTAAACTATTACATAATGGCATCAATCAATCTCTTAGATTGTCTCGTCAATAAAACAACATTTAAAAGCAGGATCTCTATATTTTCTTCCTATGAGCTGGTAGTTTATTTTTTATTTCTAAGAACAAGAAACTACTCGGACAAATATCAAAACAACTTCTTTTTTACATTTAAGAATGTAGTATTAGAAACAAATTGTAAATGACAAATTTTCTTTTCCAAAGTGATATAAGCAATGAACTACATACTTTTCTACACATTGATAATACCAATATCCACTGGGGAAAGAGACAAGAAATATGCCTAGGTTATGAAATTTGACCCAAAAAGTACAATTGTATGATATCCCTGGCAGTTCTGTTACCAATTGTTCACCCATTAGCTTGTTAAGTTTGAAAATGAAACTATGTTTTTGCCATACCTCCAGTTAAAATCTAGTAGTTTGTTTTTACTAAAAAATCCTAACTTTTTTCAAGAAGCATGATGTTTTGATTAATACGTTATTAATTCTATCATATGCCAACTTGAATAAATTAGTTAAATGTACAATTAAGGTAATTGATCTTTTATACAAGCTTAAAAGCACAAATGCATTAACTTTTACCACACAATTAATTCTTGCTTTATCAGTGACTCCCACCCTCTGGAACTAGAATTAATTCATTCATCTCATCCTACTATATATATCATACACTGTGGTTGGGAAATTGTGTGGTAGTGAAGAAGGTGGAGCTCTAAGTCTTAGCCCCAATTATGGCACCTCTAAATAGGAATAATAATAACAAATTCCTAGTGCTGTTATGAGGATCTATTCATAATTTAATGTACATATGGCACATGGGATAATTTAATGTGTGGATGGCACATTTATACTCAATAAATGTCAATGCTTTGCTGAAGGGTTTAGAGAATAGAAGAATTATAAATTGAGTCATCATGTCAGCAATGACGGTTTTCTGAGAATTTAGCCAAACTCGTGTGTGTGTGTGTGTGTGTGTGTGTGTGTGTAAGGTTTTGGAGGTGTTCATAATTATTAATATTAGTGATCTCTACCAGGGTGGCTAGTTGCTAACTAGATAGTTCTTAGAGATTTCTTAGGGACCCAGAGAATAGGTGCAGGAGACTGTACCAGCAGAATGGTCTGAAATCCTCTGCTTCTATGACTATTACCATCATAGCAGCAGATGCTAGTTTTTGTCTTAAAAAGAAACAACTATTCAAACTGTTTCAGCTGCTCTTCCTCAAAGGCACAAATAGAAAGCTGTCCTAAGTGAGCCTGGTGAAAGTAAAGTTTACCTGTTCCCAGAACCATGGCTCTTTCACATATACAAGAGCGACATTTCATCCATGTGAGTAATCCCAGCTTCTGTCTTGTCTTTAGCCACTCGTAGTGCTGCTCTGTGAGCCAAATATCCCCATCCTGGACTTGGCAGAAAGTAATTCCACAGAAAGAAAGCAAAGATAACCTTTCAATCTAAAAAATGAACTTGCGTATAGCATCATTTAGTTGCTACAAATTCTTAGTTTTCATTAGATTCAATACTGAATGGCGAAATAATTTACCATTGAGCTATCTTTAGGGATATACATACATATACATACATAGACACACATCTTTAAATTAGTGCTAATTTAGTTAATGTCTGGGTTTTATGCCTGGGTTTGACACATAACATTTGTATTCCCTTAAGCCAGTCATGACCTCTCTCAGGGTTTGCATGAAGTACCAATAAGATTGTCTGTATGAAGGCCATCTTCTTTACATTAGGCAACTCTATTCAAGCATTAATTATTGTTGACACATGTACAACAGTATGAATTCACAAGTATACACTTAATATAGATAGGGAAATACTGGGAATTTCGGAAATTTTACTTCATTATAAAACATAGAGCATAAAATAATTCTCATTTTCATTTCCTTCAATGAAAAGTTTAATTACTATGGCTTTAATAAAACCTTTATTATTCCAGTAAACAATGTGTTCCCATTCAAATGTAGACTTTCAAATAAAAACTGCTTAATAGTGTTTTAAAGATATGTCCTTTGATTCTTATTAATCTATATTATCTATATGGTCTTTTTGAGGTAATAATTAGTACTCATGCCTCTGTTAGAACTCCTCTTCTAATAAAGGTGAAAATTATATGAGCCATTAGAAAACATAATCTCATTCAGCTCTTCCTAGTACAATGTTTTGCTACATTTATTTTGCTACATCTATTTAACTGCTAAGAAAATAACCAGTTATTAAATTGTCTACAATTGTTGTTGCAAGAGCCAGAAAGCTAATATACTCAGTATGTCCAGCTGATTATATCACTAGGCACAACTTTAGACCTTTTGAAAATGTTCCTGTCTTCCTGAATTCTTTTCAAAGAATATTCTGAAAATCATTTCCTTTTGCCTAAAAAGCATGTTTTTCAGTTACAGTCAGTTCTAGTGAGCTGCCTGTCTATTTAGAAAAAGCATAAACTCTAAAATTTCCTTTAGCTCTGAGCTTTGTAAGATTTGGATTTAACCATAACTTATATGAAAACTGAGCTCTAACCCTAAGTGCAAAACTTTAAAAAAAAACCTTGAAACTTGACAGGCATTTTTGTCATTAAGAAGAGATCGTGTGCCATTGGCAACATGTGAGTGTGCCAACATACTTTTACAAATGTTTATTTGTTGCACAAAAGAATCCATGCTTATTATAGAAAATGAAGATAAGTTAAAAATTAAAATCATTTATAATGCCATCAGCCTTTCAGATTTATTTCTAGGCAGAAACAGAAACGACCAGTTATTATTTACAAAATAGTGTCATGATATACATACATATCTTTCTATGTTGCTTTTTCCACTTATATCATACCATAAAGCTATGCCTCTTATATATTGGTCTTTATTACAATTTTTAATGGCTGCACAATATTTTATAGAGAAGACATACAATTATTTATAACCCCATTATTAAAAATTTCAATTATTCCCAAGGCTTTACAGTTTTATATAAACAACCCAGCAACATATATATATTCCTACATACACATCATTGCTAAGCTGTCCAATTATTTCCTAAGGGAAATTCTCTAGAAGCATAATTACTGAATCAAAGAATTTACATGTCCTGAAAATTGTTTTTATATATTTTGCCAAATTCTCTTCTAAAAGGTTAAATAAATTTACATTCCCATCAATAAAGTAGGAGGTTGCCTGTACTCAAGACCCTAATAAAGGTGGGGTATTATTCTTCTTAAGACTTATCGATTGGTTGCTAAAGTATAGTTCTATTAGTAATAAGCCTAAATATTACATACTTTCAGGAGGAAAAATATATTTCTAAAGCAGACATTTTATTTTTCAAAATCTGCCAACCCTTAGAAATGTTGTTTATATTTTTGTGCCCTCTTTCCAATAGCATACTTCATAATGAAATGAGGAAAGAAATACTTTCTTTTCTCCTACTCTGCAAATAAGAACTTGACCAAGACAAGATAAAAGTCCCAGTTTAACACTACTGAGAGAGGACAATCCAACTTGGTCTGGGTATTTTCTCCTCTGTCAAAGGTTGGCAGTGGGTTAGCATTTCACTGACCCGAGGTTTACTGCCCTTAAGTCATTGGTGAGTATTTGTTTCCAGATCCTGAAAATAAATGTCAAATGATGAGTTGTAAGCCACTGGGAGAAATAGGTCCATCCATCCTTCCACCCATTGATCTACTCATTAATAAATACATATTAAAGATGTATACCATATAAAACAGCACCAGTTAGGTATACGTATTTGTTCAGTCAACAAATGTTTATTAAGTGTCTGTTCCATGCCAAACATTATTCTAAGCACTCACCACTAAATTAAAAAAATTTTTTTTTATTTCCATAGGTTTTTTGGAAAGAGGTGGTATTTGGTTACATGAGTAAGTTTTTTAGTGGTGATTTGTGAGATTTTGGTGCACCCATCACCTGAGCAATATACACTGAACCCAATTTATAGTCTTTCATTCCTCAACCCCTTCCCACTATTTTTCCCTGAGTCCCCAAAGTTCATTGTATCATTCTTACGCCTTTGCATCCTCATAACTTAGCTTCCACTTATGAGTGAGAAATACGATGTTTGGTTTTCTATTCCTGAGTTACTTCACTTAGAATAATAGTCTCCAGTTACACTGAGGTTGCTGCAAATATCATTAATTCATTCCTTTTTATGGCTGAGTAGTATTCTGTTGTATATATACGTATATATATGTATATACATGTATATATATATACCACAGTTTCTTTATCCACTTGTTGATTGATGGGCATTTGGGTGACTTCCACATTTTCACAATTTCAAATTGTGATGCTATAAACGTGTGGGCAATATCTTTTTGGTATAATGACTTCTTTTCCTCTGGGTAGATATCCAGTAGTGGGATTGCTGGATCAAATGCTAGTTTTACTTTTAGTTCTTTAAAGAATCTCCACACTGTTTTTCACAGTGGTTGTACTAGTTTGCATTCCCACCAGCAATGTAGAAGGGTCACCTTTTCACTACATCCATGCCAACATGTATTAGTTTTTGATTTTTTGATTATGGTCATTCTGCAGGAGTAAGGTGGTATCACATTGTGGTTTTGATTTGCATTCTCCTGATCATTAGTAATGTTGAGCATTTTTTCATATGATTGTTAGCCATTTGTATATCTTCTTTTGAGAATTTTCTATTCATGTCCTTAGCCCGCTTTTTGATGGGATTGTTTCTTTTTTTCTTGCTAATTTGTTTGAGTTCATTGTAGATTCTGGACATTAGCCCTTTGTCAGGTGTATAAAGTGTGAAGATTTCCTCCTACCCTGTGAGTTGTCTGTTTACTCTGCTGACTGTTCCTTTTGTTATGCAAAAGCTCTTTAGTTTAATTAAGTCCAGCTATTTATCTTTGCTTTTATTGCATTTGCTTTTAGGTTCTTGGTCATGAAATCCTTGCCTAAGCCAACCTCTAGAATGGTTTTTCCAATGTTATGTTCTAGAATTTTTATAGTTTCAGGTCTTAGATTTAAGTCTTTGATCCATCTTCAGTTGATTTTTGTATAAGGTGAGACATGAGAACCCAGTTTCATTCTCCTACATGTGGCTTGCCAATTATCCCAGCACCATTTGTTGAATAGGGTGTTCTTTCCCCACTTTATGTTTTTGTTTGCTTAATTGAAGATCAGTTGGCTGTAAGTATTTGTCTTTATTTCTGGGTTATCTATTCTGTTCTGTTGGTCTATGTGCCTATTTTTATACAAGTACCATGCTGTTTTGGTGACTATGGCCTTAAAGTATAGTTTGAAATCAGGTAATGTGATGCCTCCAGATTTGTTCTTTTTGCTTAGTCTTGCTTTGGCTATGTGGGCTCTTTTTTGGTTCCATATTAATTTTAGGATTGTTTTTCCTAGTTTTGTGAAGAATAGTGGTGGTATTTTGATAGGAATTGCTCTGAATTTGTAGATTGCTTTTGGCAGTATGGTCATTTTCACAATATTACTTCTACCCATCCATGAGCATGGGATGTGTTTCCATTTGTTTGTCATCTATGATTTCTTTCAGCAGTGTTTTGTAGTTTTCCCTGTAGAAGTCTTTCACCTCACCTCCTTGGTTAGGTATGTTCCTAAGTATTTTATTCTTTCTTTTGCAGTTATTGTAAAAGGAGTTAAGTTCTTGATTTGATTCTCTGCTTGGTTGCTTTTGGTGTATAGAAGTGCTACTGATTAATTTTGTATCTGGAAATTTTGCTGAATTCTTTTATCAGTTCCAGGAGCTTTTTGGAGTAGCCTTTAGTGTTTTCTAGGTATAGAGTCATATCATCAGCAAACAGCAACAGTTTGACTTCCTCTTTACCAATTACTTTGAACAAGACAACAAGATCAATGCTCTTTGAATATGTACACTTCAGTGTAGAGACTAGGTGTGCTGGTTACTAATAACACATGTTTTTAGGTTATTGAAAGTAATAAGAAAGTAATAAGCATCACATTAACTTGTTTTTCCTAATTTTAAATGGAATATAGCCTTTAAGCATGCTGAAACATTCCATTAAAAGGTATCTTGTATGGACTAGATAACTTTCCATAATTTTGAAGTTGTCTGATTTTATTTCAGATCATTAGAATCCTGCAATGCTTTTTTCTCTACATGAAAAATTGCTCATAATTGAATCTCAAAATTTTATTTTCTTCATAACCTGCTAGTTTTATCAACCACTTCACCAAAATTGATATTTCTTTTGTCAGACATTTGGCATGATTTTTCTTTAATGTTCCATGACAGCTGAATGAGTATACACTATCAAAATGCAGCCTTTTCCCCTATAACTATAATTAAATTTAAAATTAACATGCTGGTTTCTCATGCTTCATTCTGTTGTACTTGCCTCAATTTCCCTTGGTTACAAAGCATATTGGTTATGAATATGTATTAGGTTTTGCTGTCAAATTCTGTGAACGTCTCCTGGAGCAGAAGATTAGATATGTTATTGCAAAACAGATGCATCAGTTTATATCATCCCCTGCAATTTTTACCTACTAATGAACATTTATGAGAAAGTGAACAACAGAACAGGGGAAATTACTCTGCTAGTCAAGGTCCATAGCGCTCTTTTTTTCTTGCTTCAATAGATTTTAGTAGAATTTAATTTTCATTTATACTATATTATCAATTATTCAAGAGCTCATCAATTTGAATAAAGTTAAAGTTTTGTAACTAACAAAGACACAGACCTTGACTGAATTTAAGGTTTGGAACCAAACTCTCACAAGCCAAAAATTCAACATTTCGATTTCCTATCCAGCTGGTGAATTAGAAGGGAATTGAAGCTGAAGTGGGCAAAAAATCAATAAATCTTTCTCTTTTAAATAAAGATGATCATCACCCCTGAGAAATATAATTGTTCTTATTAATTTTCTCTAAGTCTGTGAAATTCTTCAATATCTGCTATACTTCTAAAGTGATGCTTATCACTATCAGCTTTTGTGCCTAGGCTAGAAACTTGGGGGAATAAGCCTGACCAGTGAAATAGTGCAGCCAACAGAGAACTGAGCTTCATTGATTTTCATTTGGAAATCTCACTGTAGCAATACAAATATATACTTTTTTAAATTGCTGTTCCTTTGTTGGAGACCATGATTATGGCAAAGAAGTTTATGCATCCATAGGATCATAGATTAATACCATGTTGGAGCTAGAAGAAAGTTTAGAGAATCTACACCAAACCCTTCATTTAAAAGGAAGAAACTGATGTTCAGGCTTATTAAGAAAAGACTTCTCTGAGGTCACATAGTTCACTATTAGCAGAAATAGGCCTAGAACCAAAAATTTCCAATTCTTAACCACTTTTACCACAATTCAAATATATTGGCTTCAACAAAATCTGATTTTCTTTAGGATAACATGGTCATCAACAAACCAGAAAAATATGAGATTGGAATGTATACTCCCAAATAATCTCATACTGTTTTGATAAAAGCTATCTATTTAGAAGCCTAAAGCTTTATAATGATATACTTACTTTTCACATATAAACTTTGAATCGATAAGATAAACATAAAAAGTCAGAAAGACTCTAATCCAGGTTCTGAGGGGAAATTTTCACCAAACTGTCAGCTCTTTCTTGCTGTCACATCCTTCTCAAACCAAAGATCCAACTTCAACCAATCTCTGGTAATTATCTTCATTCTTTTGTTCTGCCATCCTTTCATCCCAGATATCTGGCAAAACACAGCATTGGAAAAGCATCCTCTCTGTGCCTATACCTAGGCTGCTGAACACTAATGGACAGGGCAGAATGATGTCACCACAACAAAATACATGATCTCCAACCTCAAATGTCCCTCTATACTACTAGGAATCCTTCCATGTTTTCTTGCTGAACTCTCACTCTGATTCTCTGCTTCTTTCAAACTCCTACTTTATTATTTCCCTTCCCTTCCTAATAAAGAAATTTGACTCCTAACTCACAAGGAAAAGGAACGAAAGAAAGAGAATGAAAAGGGGGAGAAAGAAATGGAGGAATCAATTAGATAGAAATGTCCTCAATGTTTTTGCACCCGCATATATAATGACCTATATCTGCAGCCATCTCCTTCTCCCCTGTGACAGCAGAACTTCTGTGTTCTGGATACAACCTTCTCCCACCACCTCGAGAATCTCTTCTATTGTTATTCTCTCTTGTTCTCTATTGACTCCTTTTCATCAGCATTTAAACATGATCAAGTCATTCGAATTATTAACCATCTTCCGTTGACATTGCCATCTGTTTTTTGCTACTGTCTCATCCTTCTTTCACAGCCAACTTGAAACAATCATGTTCTCACATTGTCTCAATTTCTTCACCTCCAGCTTACTTAACCTGTTGCAATCCAGCAGTTCCACTGAAGCTGCTCGTAACAAGAAGACCAAAAATCCTGTGGCTAAACATTTCAATACATTTTTTTCTGGTTCTCATCTGATAAAAGTGAAAATGTACCAAGTTAATGTTTGGTGCCAAAATATCTTTGTTTGAGAAAATACCTTGAGATTCCCGTTTAGTTGGAAAATGAAATCTGAGTTATGTGCAAGACCCCAATCAAGAAAGAACAGGGATCAAGCTGCTGTAAAAAAGAGGAAAATAATTTGGTATTTGTTTTTATTGATTTTTTTATTCGATTACACAGAGGGAGAGAGAAGGAAATGGTGGTTGAAATGGGAGGTGGAAAGGATGGGAGACTCCAAGATGGCAGAGGGTTGCATGGTAATAAAGTGCCATCGAGAAAACCCCACAGGCAATATGGCTAAAATTATTTTAATAATGGAAGTGTCTGTGTGTTTCTGACATATTTCTCACTCCAACCCATACACCTACTTCCCAAAAACCTTCGGTTGCATCTACTCGACTTGTAAATGCTTACTGAATGGAAAGTCCTGAATAACTACATAAGGAGCTGAGTCTCAGGCATGTGTTAATCTGATAGAGAACAGAGATGGCAGCTGCAATGGAGGGCAGGCAGAGGTGATTTTACATTTGCAGAAATTTGGAAAGGGCTTTGGATTTCCAATATTATGGCATAAGGGTTCGAGCCAATGATTCCATATCTCCAAGTCTGGAAGGCTCCCACCCATGAGTTATGTGTTTTTATGATGTGTCTCTGCAGAATTTGCCTCTGTTGACTCTTCCCTACTTCTAAGAACATTTGCTTTCCTTGGTTTACATTACACTGTGTTTCTCAGCAACACTTCTGATCACTCCTTCTCAGTATCTCTTGTAAGTACCACTTTTTCTGTGGTACTTACAGAAAGATAAGATGAAGATAAGATAAGATGAGATATTGGTATATCTTAGCTTTTGGCCCTCTGACCTGTTCTCTTCTCACATCATATACCCTAGCTGATTTATATGACCCAATTTCTTAGGCTTCAAACATGGTCTAATTGCTGAGAATGCCCAAAGAAATATCTTTATCTAGACCTCTCTTCTGAGCACTAAACCTTTATATCCTATTTCTCTTCTGGATATATTAACTTGGAAGTCCTATGTAGATAGTTCAAATCAACATGTTAAATAACAATTCATTTTCCCTCAAAAATAATCTTTTTTCCTCTTTTCTTTAGATTTAAATATTTTCAGAATTAAACACTGGGGGAAAACACAGCCTACAGGTCCAAGAATATGACAGAGGTTGAATGAACCAAACTACATTTAACAAAAGAGTATAATACAGCTGTTAAACAAATGAAAATACTCTCTATCAACTTATATAGAGATACATTGTTAATCAAATACAATTAAAATGCCACAGAGAATAAACGTATGCTATGTTTATGTGAGAGAGAAAAAAAGGTAAAAAAAATACACATAGACATACATGTATTTAAAAAACAAAACCACAGAATAAAATGTTCAGAAGTTAATGAAAATTGTTATCAAGACAGAATGAGAGGATGGGAAGAAAAGGATAGGGAAGAGAGTAAAATTTTCCTAAGTATGCATTTTTATACTGTTTTGACTTGAGAACTATAAAAATGTTTCATATAGTCAACAAGATAAAATCAAAACAAAGATTTTTTAAACTCTAAAATTTAATATGTATATATACTAACCTAACCATGTAACAAGCTTACACAACCACACAGTAAGAGAAATTAATTTTAATATCTATAAGCCCAGTTCTCTAACCCATGTACCTGTAATGCAATATAATGCAAAAAAACTGCAAATAAGTCTTGAATTTTACTTTCATTTTTAGAGTAGTGTTAATATAATAGTTCCAAAACTATTTCATATACATTACAGAATAAAGCATACAAATAAATATATTAGTGCTGCTAGAACAAAGGTTCAAAATGTGAGAGCATGGAAATACAAATGATACAAATATGGAGTGACGGAGGGGAAGAACCCTGTGGTATTTGAATTGAATTGGAAGTATTAGTATAAGTTCATTAGTTTTAAAAATATGTATAGATCAATAAATATAAATATTGATTTAGATAGGTATAGATATATCCTAGCTATGTCAACTGAAAGTACCTGGAAGCAATGACACCCCTAATAGCAATGAACACACTACTACCCAGATCCTGTTATTCTCAATACCATTCTCCAATAAATGGAACTGGGGATCCCTGGAGAAATGGCTGGTTCCAGGTCTTGGGCACATCATCTTGTGCCAGAAAGCAAAGCAGTAATAACAGATTGATGAAAATATGTTAAAAGGATACAAGGGCTGGCTTGAAGGGGTCTCACACTAGACAAATTTGGGGCATTTTGAGTATCATAAAATAATGACCATAATAGAAAACAGCACATTGAATAGAATAAACGAAGCCATAAATCTGTGGTCAGACTCAAGGCAGAGAGAGAGAATGAGAGGGTGAAAGAGAAGAGGGGCCGAAGACTCTCTCTTACAGAAAGAAAAATGCCATACTGAAAATGAGTAAGAATCAATAGCATTTAAAAATCACCATTTTTCAACCACCAGTAGAGTCATTGTTTCCAGCAAAGATAATCAATCAATAGTCAAACCAATGGATGAAATCTTGTTGAAGAATACTCACAATATAGTATAAAACTATCAGCCCACAAGTTCCTTTACAATGGGTAACTCTGGTGGATCCACTTCAATCAAGGGACCCAACGTATAGCATCACCAGTAATGGGACAAATTGACATAATGGGACTCTCGATGCCTTACAAGAGGTGGAGATAACTACGCAGTATTCTTTCCAAAAATGGTGAAGATGAATCTAACAGTAAAGAATCAATCAGAAAATCCAGATAATGGGATGTTCTAAGTAACTGGCATGAATTCTTCAAAAATGTTTATGTCATGAAAGACAAGAAAAAGTGGGGGACTCCTCAAGATTAAAGGAAACTAAACAGATGAAAGAGATGTGTCAACTAAAGCAAATGTATAATTCTGTATTGGATCTGTGATTTTATATAAAAGACATTACTGGGACGAAAGGGGACATTTTAATATCAACCTTTTCATTAGGTAATGTATAAAGTTGAATTTCCTGTGTACAAAAATGGCATTATGGTTATCTAGAAGGATGCCTTTGTTCCTAGGGAAGTTTACTTAAAATATAGCCCTCCATAAAGGAAGGCCTATGTCTAAGCAGATTTTAACTGACACAGGGTAGACATTCAATAAATACCTGTTGTAAGAATGAGTAAATGATAAATATATTGTAAATATTCTCTTCTATATTGAGGAAGAGATATTCATCTATTTTACTGATAATAGCAAGTTTGGGGAGGGGATCATAATAGTGAATGATGGCCAAGATTATAGAATAATAATGTATAAAATAACTTTGGGAAATTATAAATAAGTCAAAATAGAATTAAATTGTTCACTAGAGAAAAGAAACAAAAACTGGCTACCAGATCATGTTGGACAATGTTCTGGCTCTGCAAATCACTCAATAGAAAATGACAAATTCCCCCCAATCCCCACCTTTTTTTTTTTTTTTTGGATTTCTCTTCATCACCTGTAAAATAAAGACAGTAGAGTGGTTCTCTATGTTCTCTCTCTTAATGCTAAAATTCAATGGAAGGAAATTAATGCTCTGAGTATAAGGACATAGTATCTATAAAAGGCACTGCTTTTAAATTCAGCACTCTTAATTTCAGCATTACTAGACATACATTTAGAAATAGTACCCCAGAGTCTTTAGGTTATGAAGACATGCCAGCATTTTAAGAACATTTATGTTTGCATTGAATTATGGTATAGATAAGGTGCCCACAAACCCATTTGCTATAACTTGCCCCACTACAATCACAGTTCTCTTTTTCTATAACCTCTACACCACATAAATATGTACATTTTTTATTTTAGAATATGATTATGCATTATTCTGTGATTTTCTTGTTTTCACTGAACATCAAATCTTGGGCAATCTTACATAAGTCTTCCTTATTCTTTTTAATAACTGAGTAATAGGAGTATACCACAATTTACTTATCCATTCATCCAGTTGATGAATATTTGGGTTATAAATACTCCAGTTTGTAAGTGATATTACAATCATATTTTTGCATGTATTTTTTTCTGTACTTCAGAATGTATTTAGGGAAGCTTGGAGGATTAGAATTGCTGATTAAAAAGTATACATGTGGTACATTTTATATTTGATATATAAAGGCAAATTGCCTTCCAGAAAAGCTTTGTCAATTTACAATCTTAGTAAGAGTGCCTATTCCCTTGGTTCTTCACCATCAGTGAATGTTATTGATCTTTTTAATATTTGCCAATCTGATGATTATAAAAAGAACGTCTTCTTTCTGATTAGAGTATCAAATCAAATTCTTAACAAGTTTGGGTGCCTTTTCACATGATTAGAAGCTATTTATGTAGCATTCTTT